>NC_000007.14:150670500-150822016 GCF_000001405.40 Homo sapiens | reverse complement strand
TAATTTTTGTGGAATATTGTGGATTTAGTTCATGTTATCTTATTGAGGTTTTAATTTGACTACCTGGTTTATTGATGAGGTTGAACACATTTCCACTATTTATTGGCCATTTGGGCTTCCTCTTATGTACAGTGTCAGATCTTTGGCAATTTTTTCTGTTGGGTTGTCCGCCTTAATGATTTTTAAGAATTCTTCATGTGAAATTGCTGACACTTGACCATTTTTGACTTACAAAAAATGGCAGTTTCATATGATTCAATTTAACACCTTCTGGAATTGGTCCTTTGTTATTTATGTGTTGACTAATATTTTATCAGATTATGTGGCTTATCTTTTCATTTCCTTCCTTCGTTTTTTGAGAATCAGAAAGTTTTAACATTAGTGGATTTGGACTTATCAGTCCTTTTCTTTATGGCTGGTGCTTTTTATGTCTTGTTTGAGAAATCCTTGTCTTTGAGGCTAAAGGTGACCAGATTGTGCTGGGGGACTGGGGCTGCATTCTCAGGGCATTCTACTTTGGGCCCTGGGTCACATTGCCTCTGCTGGGGAGGAGGCAGGTTTCTCTGTGCCCCTAGCCTTGACTGGGTGGGGGAGGGAGGAGAGGCCACTCCTGGGCTCTTTGTAGGGTAGCACTCATGTTTTCAAGAAGATCCTTTCCTGTAGATTGTTTCCACACTGTTCTTTCAAGTGCAGAGGGTCTTCCTAATGAATCGGCAGCCCTGCATCTCACTGGGCCAGGGTTGGGGCAGGAGTAGGCCAGCATCACGGTGGATGTTCAGCTAGGGTGGGCTGTGACGGGGGTTGGCTCCAGCTCAGAACTGGAAATCCTGTTTGCTGAATTGTGTGTCCTAGCCGATGAGGTGGGACAAGGAGAAACTGGCTGAAGACAGTGAAACAGTAGGAAAAACCCTGCCTGCCCTGTAACTCTGGGGCCTGGGGGATGTAATGGTGTGATTCTGACTAGTTGGCTGGAGCAGAGCAGGTAGCCTGGGGCGCGCCAGACGAAGACTGGAAAATGTCATGGCTTTTTGGCCCTCACTCCTCAACGTCACTGTGGGTTGGGGGAGGCAGGGGACTGTCCAACCTGTTCACAGTTCCCTTTCCAGTGCTGACAGTGCCTGCCACATGAGAGATATTAATACACATTTGTTCAATTAATGAATTAATATTTTTCACATAATTTCATGAAAGAGTTAATGTTTTCTTTTCTATTTCTTTCCCTGGGGAAAACTTTTTGTAGCCCCTAGGCGGCAGAATTAATCACATCTAGCTGGCTTGTGATACGGAACCAGGCTTTTGAATTTAAAATTAATCTTGTTCTAATTCTGTTTTTGAACTTGTTAATCATTAAGGTCCTAAGAAACATTGGCAGAGTAAAACTGAAATAAAGACCTGGTAAATTACTTTCTCAGGCTAAAGAAGGTATGAATTTTTCTTCTAAGTGCTTCTAAATCAGTCCTTTAATGGTTAGGTTGGATGTAAATTCTTACCATTCTTCAGTCAGATAAATGAATGTCAACCCAGTTTTTCCTTCTGCTGGAAAATGGTCTTTTACTCTCAGAATCTGGCAACCTCCTTTGTGTCTCGTGTCTGGAGGGTCAGAGTCTGGGAAAGCAGCTCCCCTCCACCCCACTTCTCAGGCCTTCTCCCAGCTTCCCAGCTTCTCTCCCTGCAGCCACCCTGCCCCCTCCCAAACTGCCTCGGAAAGTCCCATGTCTCGGGTTTTCTCTTCTGTAGGAAATCAGATGTCGTGCCACCGCAACCTTTCATTCAAAATAAAAATTCAAAAGCAATTTGTGTATTTGAAAACACATCTAAACCACAGGCTTGAAGTTCCTGTTTTGATGGGGAAAATGAATATTCCCATCTGGAGATAACTTTGGGACGTTGAGATAGAGACAGGCAAATTCATCTCAAACTCATTATTATTTTAGATTCTTATCATTATCAATTATTATTATAGCAAAACTCATCATTTTTTCTGTGTACAATTTGTGAATTTTAACATATGTACAGATTCATGTAACCAACACCATGATCAGGATAAAGAACAGTATTGTCACCCCACAAATCTTCCTTGGGGGGTCCCTTTTTCAGTCACATGCTCTTCCCAGCCCTAACCACAGGGAACCATTGAGTTGTTTTCCATCACTATAATTTTTCCATTTTGAGAGTATCATATCAGTGGAATCATGCAGTACGTAACCTTTGGGGACTGGCCTCTTTACCTCAGCATAATGATGTTAAGATTATAATCTGTAAACTCCTACTCAGGTCATTGCACCACTTTGATGGAATTTCCATTCCCTTTGTCCTCAAGATTTGTCTAAAGATATTTGACTTTGACAGAATTTTGGGTTCTTCAGTTTTCTTTTTAATTATAAAATATACATACAAATGAACATTAAGCATATATAGTTGTGTGAATAATTATAAAACAAACTTAATGTATCACCAAATCAAGGAATAGCTCATTGCCCCAGAAACACCCCCAACCCCCACATCATTCATGTGATTGTGTGTATCAATAGTTTATTCCTTTTATTGCTAGTAGTATTCCAGTGTATGGATGTTCCTACAGTTTATCCATTCACCCATGCAAGGACATTTGTGTTGCTTCCAGTTTTTTGGTAATTATAAATGGAGCTGCTATAAACATTCACATACAGATTTTTGTGTAAACATGAGCTTTAATTTTTTAGGGTAAATATCATGGAGTGTGATCACTGAGTCATAAGATGTAGGGTTAAATTTGGAAGAAGCTGCCAAAGCATTTTCTAGAGTGACTGTACCATTTTGCATTCTGGCCAACATCTGGTATTGTCTGTGTTTTCTATTTGACCTGCTCTAATTTGTGTGTAGTGGCATCTGATCATGGTTTTAATTTGTATTTACTTAATGCCTAGTGGTGTTGATCATTTTTTCATGTAGTTATTTGTCATCCGAGTATCTTCTTCGGGGAAGTGTCTAAGTCTTGCTCATTTCTAAAACTTGGGTTTCTTGCTTTCTGTTGAGTTTTGAGAGTTCTTTATATATTCTGGTTAAGTTCTTAACCAGATATATGGTTTGCAAATTTTTTTTCCTTGCATATAGTTTGTCTTTTAATAAAGTATTTTGTAGACCAACAATTATTAATTTTGATGAAGTCAAATTTATCACTTTTTTTGTTTTGTGAACTGTATTTTAGTGTCATGTCTGAGAACTTTTTGCCTAACCTCAGGTCAGGAAGATATTTTTCCTGTGTTTTCTTCTACAAGTTTTATGGATTCATTTTCTACATTTAGGTCTATTATGCCTTCTATGTTAATTTTTCTGTAAGCTGTGAGATTGACGTCAAGGTTAATTTTTTGCATATAGATGTCCAGTTGTTCCAACACCATTAGTGTTGTTGTCTTTCCTTATCAACTCCAGGACACACAATTTGGGAAACAGGTTTTCCAGCTCTGAGCTGGAGTCAACCCCTGTTCACATTAGTTGAAAAGACTATCCTTTCTCCATTGAATTGCTTTGGTACCTTTATCAAAAATCACTTGGCCATGTTTGTGTGACTATTTCAAGACTTTCTTTCTACCCTGTTCTACTGATGGATGTGTGTCTCTCTCCACCAGTACCACAATGTGTTGATTGCTGTAGCTTTATAGCAACTCCTAAAACATCCAATTTTATTCTTTGTCTTCAAGATTGTTTCAGCTGTTGTGGTTTATTTGCTTTTTCATATTCATTTCAAAATCAGCTCCCCCCTCTCTCTCTTTCTATCTCTTTCTCTATATGTTTATATGTATATTTATATATACATAAAATTTCTGCTGGGATTTTGGTTTGAATTGTGCTAAATTTATAGAAAACTTTGGGGAGAATTGACATCTTTACTATGTTTAGTCTCCCAACCCATGAACACAGTATGTATCTCATTTAGTAAGGTCTTATTTGATACCTGTCCTTAACATTTTGTCGTTTTCATCATACAGATCCAGTAATATTTTGTTAGACTTACATCTAAGTATTTAATTTTTTGGAGCAGTGGTAAATATATTTTAATGTTGCTCACCAATTGTACATTGTGAATATATTTAAGTACAGTTGTTTTTTGTGTGTTGACTTGTATCCTGTGACTTTGATAAAGTCACTTATTAGCCACAGGGCTTTGTGTGTGTGTGTGTGTGTGTGTGTGTGTGCAAATTCCTTGGGATTTTTTGTATAGGCAATTATTGTCACCTAAAATAGGGACAGTTTTTCTTTTCCCTGTTTAATCTATATGCCTTTTTCATTTCTTGCCTTACTGTACTGGCTAGGACTTCCAGTATAATATTGATTGGAAGTGGTGGGAGGACTCATTTTTTTCTTTTTCTCTATCTTAGGGACAAAGCATTCTGTTTTTCACCATTAAGTATAATGTCGACTGCAGGATTTTGGTAGATGCTGTTTATCAACTTGAGGAAGTTTCTGTCTATGTCTAGTTTACTGAGACTTTTTTAAAAAAGTCATATTTTGATGCTGAATTTTGTCAAATGATTTTTCTGCATCAATTGATACGATCATGTGGTCTTTTTTCTTTATACTTTTCATGGGGGATGGTCTGTAGTTTTTCTTATTTTTACTGTCTGATTTTGGTCTCAGGGTGATGTTGAGCCCATAAAATAAGTTTGGAAGTTCTCCTCTTCTATTTTCTGGAAGAGATTATGTAGAATTAGTGTTATTTCTTCTTTAACTATTTGGTAAAATTATCCAGTAAAACCATCCAGGCCAGGAGATTTCTTTTTCAGAAGATTTTTCGCTATAAATTCAATTTCTTTAATAGATGTAGCACCATTCATGTCAGCTAATTCATATTGGATAAGTTGGTATTTCATGGGTTTTGAGGAATGAGTTTATTTCATCTAAGTGGTTGACCTTCCACATATAGAGTTGTTCATAATATTCCCATATTATTCTTTTAGTGTATGTGGGGCTTGTAGTGATATCCCCCCATTTCATTCTGGATATTGGTAATTTGTGTAGTTTTTCTTATTTTCTTTTTTTCTCTTTTTGGACAGAGTCTCACTCTGTTGCCAGGCTGGAGTGCAGTGGTGCGATTGTGGGACTTATTGCAGCCTCAACCTCCTGGGCTCAGGTGATCCTCCCACCTCAGCCTCCAGAGTAATTGGGACTATAGGTGTGCACCACCATGTCTAGCTAATTTTTGTATTTTTTGTAGAGGTGGGGTTTTGCCACGTTACCCAGGCTGGTCTCAAACTCCTGGGCTCAAGCGATCCACCCACCTTGGTGTCTCAAAGTCCTCGGATTACAGGCAAGAGCCACCATGCCTGGCCAGTTTCTCTTATTATTATAATTTTTTGACACTCTTACTAGAGGTGTATCAATCTTTTCAACAAACCTGCATTTAGTTTCATTGATTTCCCTAATTTTTCTGTTTAATCAATTTATCTTCTTTATAATTTTCTTTCTTCTATTTTGCTTTGAGTCAATTTTGAGTTTATTTTGCTCTTTTTTTAGTTTCTTAAGCTAAGAACTTTCTTATTCTTTTCTCATACAAGTACTTAATGCTATGAATTTACCTCTAAGCACTTCTTTAGCTGTATTCTACAAATTTTGTTAGGAAAAAATTTCATTTTTGTTCTGTTCAACATATTTTCTAATTCCCTTGAGATTTCTTTGATCCATGAGTGATTTAGAAATATGTTGTTTAGTTTTCAAGTGTTTGGAGATTTTCCCATTACTTTTCATTTGTTGATTTATAGTGCATTATGGTTAAGGGATACACCGAAGATATGGTCTATCTTGGTGAATGTTCCATGAGCACTTGAAAAGAATGTGTATTCTGATATTGTTGTGGATTGTATTATAAAGGTAATGAGATCCAGTTGTTGATGATGTGGTTCGGCTCTTCTATATCCTTGCTAATTTCTGTCCACTCATTCTATCTATTACTGAGCGAGGAATGTTGTGTCTCCAGCTATAACTGTGGATTTGACAACTTCTCCTTTCAGTTCTATCCACAGTTGTTCCATGTACTTGGAAGCTCTGTTGCTAAGTGCATGCACATTTAGGATGATTCTTTCTGAGGTGAAAATTTATTAATTAGAGTTATGTCTGGCAGCGAGTGCCAGAATATGTAAACGAACCCAAGCTTTTTTCACACATCAACATCTAGGCAGGCAGCCCAGGATTAGTATGTTGTGCATAGGTCACACTCTGTCCTGTTGCTCTTCAATGAATGGATACTATTCCTAAATCACATCATGGCCCAAGATAGCTTGCTCTAGATCCACGTTTTTTTTTTTGTTTTGTTTTGTTTTGTTTTGTTTTTTAGACGGAGTTTCGCTCTTGTTGCCTAGGCTGGAGTGCAATGGTGTGATCTCGGCTCACTGCAACCTCCGCCTCCTGGGTTCAAGCGATTCTCCTCCTCAGCCTCCCGAGTAGCTGGGATTATAGGCATGAGCCACCACGCCTGGCTAATTTTGTATTTTTTTTTTTCTTTTTTTTTGAGATGGAGTCTCGCTCTGTCACCAAGGCGGGAGAGCAATGGTGCGATCTTGGCTCACTGCAAGCTCCACCTCCCGGGTTCACGCCATTCTCTTGCCTCAGCCTCCGGAGTAGCTGGGACTACAGGCGCCCGCCACCACGCCCGGATAATTTTTTTGTAATTTTTAGTAGAGACGGGGTTTCACCGTGTTAGCCAGGATGGTCTCGATCTACTGACCTCGTGATCCACCTTCCTCAGCCTCGCAAAGTGCTGTGATTACAAGTGTGAGCCACCGTGCCGGTCCGGTCCGTGTTTTAAGTGAAACTCTTCATTCAAAACAGTTTTTTTCCATCAGCTTGGCTGGTAGCTACTGTCCACAGCAGCTAACAGAGGTCTGGACAAAAGAGCAGCAGGACATCCACCTGCATGGGTCCCTTTGGGGAAGCCTTGCCATAGGGGTCAGATTTCAAGCATGGCTTCAATGACACAACCACAATGTGACAATTTAAGAGATTTTAGTACTTGCAGACCCTGGGGGCTACATGGCATGCCTGGAGGTCAGGCAGCACAGGCAGAGACAGAGAGAAAAGGATCCCTTTATTGGGTCCAGGGCATTATTTAAATAGGTTTCCCACAGGGAGTTTTAGTTGGTGGATTTAGAGCAAGCAGGCCTGAGTTCCAGGAGCATGCAGAGGTGGTCACTGCAGCATGTCTGCACGGTCGATACAGGGTGTGGGCGTCAGCAGGGCCAGTGGAACAGGGTGTATCCAGTTGACCCATAGTGAGCTGGTCACCAGGAGGCAGTTGTATAAGGCAGCTATCTGGATTGGCCACACAGGAGAACTGGGATCAAGTATAGAACTGGAAACTGTATCGAGGGTAACTGAGCTCTGTTGCTGGTATGGGAAAGTCCAGTTAATATTGAAAATTAATGCTGAGACAAATAAAATTATAAGCATTCATTATACTGCTGCTATCACACCTGCACTCCAAGCGTCAAAAGAGATCATGGGGGCAAAGGGCATCTCTCTCTTAAAGGATGTTCCCAGGACACACACACACTATTTCCTCTTAAATCTTATTGCTTAGAATTAAGTCGCCAAAGGAGGCTGGGAAATCTAGTCTCCATTCCAAGAAGCTATATGCCCAGTTTTTTTTCCGAGGGACCTATTACAAGAAATAAAGGAAGAAAGAATGAAAATTGGGGAACAACACCAGTCTCTGCCAAAGGCCACTTCATGCACCTTCTGTGGTGTCTGCATAGTCAGTCCCACTGATGATGTATATAGCTCTGGTTTTCCGCATGCCCATTCTAGAAGTTTGACCAAAGGAGATTATATTCCCATTTGGGGACTCTGTTATACTTCCTTTGAAGTAGGGAGGAGAGAGGATTTGGGGATTGTTGAGTACTTTCTGTTCTCCCCAATTTTTTTTGTTAGTAATCCACATTTATTTGAGTAATTCATACTGTAGGGTGTCCAGTTTTTAGACACTTCTATATTTATATGTATCATTTGATCCTCACATTAGCCTTGGGTTTTAGATACAATTATCCACATTTTACAAATACAAAGACTGTTGCTCAGGAGGTTTTGTAGGTAGGTCAAGGAGCTAGGAAGTGGCAGTGCTGAGATTTGTGCTCATGTCTCTGACTGCAAGCTCAGAGCTGTTACAGAGCACCATGCCAGCTTTATTCCCCCTGTCGTCCTTGGGACAGCTTTGCCAACTGGGGCCATAGTCTGGTTTAACTCCCTGCTTTGTCTAACTATTTATTTGGATTTCGGGGGACGTGGAAATTTTCTTTGACATTCTTGATTTTTTTTGTGGTGTTTGGTGAATTTTTTTTTATTACTATACTTTAAGTTCTAGGGTACATGTGCACAATGTGCAGGTTTGTTGCATAGGTATACATGTGCCATGTTGGTTTGCTGTGCCCATTAACTCGTCATTTACATTAGGTATTTCTCCTAATGCTATCCCTCCCCCAGCCCCACACCTCATGATAGGCCCTGGTGTGTGATGTTCCCTGCACTGTGTCCAAATGTTCTCATTGTTAAATTCCCACCTATGAGTGAGAACATGCGGTGTTTGGTTTTCTGTCCTTGTGATAGTTTTCTCAGAATGATGGTTTCCAGCTTCATCCATGTCCCTGCAAAGGACATGAACTCATCTGTTTTTATGGCTGCATAGTATTCCATGGTGTATATGTGCCACATTTTCTTAACCCAGTCTATCATTGATGGACATTTGGGTTGGTTCCAAGTGTTTGCTATTGTGAATAGTGCCGCAGTAAACATACGTGTGCATATGTCTTTATAGTAGCATGATTTATAATCCTTTGGGTATATACCCAGTAATGGGATCGCTGGGTCAAATGGTATTTCTAGTTCTAGATCCTTGAGGAATCACCACACTGTCTTCCACAATGGTTGAACTAGTTTACACTCCCACCAACAGTGTAAAAGTGTTTCTGTTTCTCCACACCCTCTCCAGCATCTGTTGTTTCCTGACTTTTTAATGACGACCATTCTATCTGGTGTGAGATGGTATCTCACTGTGGTTTTGATTTGCATTTCTCTGATGACCAGTGATGATGAGCATTTTTTCATGTGTCTGTTGGCTGCATAAATGTCTTCTTTTGAGAAGTGTCTGTTCATATCCTTTGCCCACTTTTTGATGGGGTTGTTTTTTTCATGTAAATTTGTTTAAGTTCTTTAAAGATTCTGGATATTAGCCTTTTGTGAGATGGGTAGATTGCAAAATTTTTCTCCCATTCTGTAGGTTGCCTGTTCACTCTGATGGTAGTTTCTTTTGCTGTGCAGAAGCTCTTTTGTTTAATTAGATCCCATTTGTCAATTTTGGCTTTTGTTGCCATTGCTTTTGGTGCTTTAGTCTTGAAGTCCTTGCCCATGCCTATGTCCTGAATGGTATTGCCTAGGTTTTCTTCTAGGGCTTTTATGGTTTTAGGTCTATCATTTAAGTCTTTAATCCATCTTGAATTAATTTTTGTATAAGGCGTAAGGAAGGGATCCAGTTTCAGCTTTCTACATATGGCTAGCCAGTTTTCCCAGCACCATTTATTAAATAGGGAATCCTTTCCCCATTTCTTGTTTTTGTCAGGTTTGTCAAGGATCAGATGGTTGTAGATGTGTGGTGTCATTTCTGAGGCCTCTGTTCTGTTCCCTTGGTCTATATCTCTGTTTTGGTACCAGTACCATGCTGTTTTGGTTGCTGTAGTCTTGTAGTATAGTTTGAAGTGAGGTAGCGTGATGCCTCCAGCTTTGTTCTTTTTGCTTAGGATTGTCTTGGTTATGTGGGCTCTTTTTTGGTTCCATATGAACTTTAAAGTAGTTTTTTCCAATTCTGTGAAGAAAATCATTGGCAGCTTGATGGGAATGGCATTGAATCTGTAAATTATCTTGGGCAGTATGGCCATTTTCACGATATTGATTCTTCCCATCCATGAGCAGGGAATGTTCTTCCATTTGTTTGTGACCTCCTTTATTTTGTTGAGCAGTGGTTTGTAGTTCTCCTTGAAGAGGTCCTTCACATCCCTTGTAAGTTGCATTCCTAGGTATTTTATTCTCTTTGTAGCAATTGTGAATGGGAGTTCACTCGTGATTTGGCTCTCTGTTTTTCTGTTATTTGTGTATAGGAATGCTTGTGATTTTTGCACACTGATTTTGTATCCTGAGACTTTGCTGAAGTTGCTTATCAGCTTAAGGAGATTTTGGGCTGAGACGTTGGGGTTTTCTAAATATACAATCATGTCATCTGCAAACAGGGATAATTTGACTTCCTCTTTTCCTAATTGAATACCCTTTATTTCTTTCTCTTGCCTGATTGCCCTGGCCAGAATTTCCAACACTATGTTGAATAGGAGTGGTGAGAGAGGGCATCCCTATCTTGTGCTAGTTTTCAGGGCAATGCTTCCAGTTTTTGCCCATTCAGTATGATATTGGCTGTGGGTTTGTCATAAATAGCTCTTATTATTTTGAGATACGTTCCATCAATACGTAGTTTATTAAGAGTCTTTAGCATGAAGGGCCGTTGAATTTTGTTGAAGGCCTTTTCTGCATCTATTGAGATAATTGTGGTTTTTTACCTTGGTTCTGTTTATGTGATGGATTATGTTTATTGATTTGCATATGTTGAACCAGCCTTGCATCCCAGGGATGAAGCTGACTTGATTGTGGTGGATAAGCTTTGTGATGTGCTGCTGGATTCAGTTTGCCAGTATTTTATTGAGGATTTTTGCATCAATGTTTATCAAGGATATTGGTCTAAAATTCTCTTTGTTTGTTGTGTCTCTGTCAGGCTTTGGTATCAGAGTGATGCTGGCCTCGTAACATGAGTTAGGGAGGATTCCCTCTTTTTCTATTGATTGGAATAGTTTCAGAAGAAATGGTACCAGCTCCTCTTTGTACCTCTGGTAGAATTCGGCTGTGAATCTGTCTGGTTGTGGACTGTTTTTGGTGGGTAGGCTATTGATTATTGCCTCAATTTCAGAGCCTGTTATTGGTCTATTCAGAGATTCAACTTCTTCCTGGTTTAATCTTGGGACAGCGTATGTGTCCAGGAATTTATCCGTTTCTTCTAGATTTTCTAGTTTATTTGCATAGAGGTATTTATAGTATTCTCTGATGGTAGTTTGTATTTCTGTGGGATCAGTGGTGATATCCCCTTTATCATTTTTTATTGCGTCTATTTGATTCTTCTCTCTTTTCTTCTTTATTAGTCTTACTAGCGGTCTATCAATTTTGTTGATCTTTTCAAAAAACCAGCTTCTGGATTCATTGATTTTTTGAAGGGTATTTTTTGTGTCTATATCTCCTTCTGTTCTGCTCTGATCTTAGTTATTTCTTGCCTTCTGCCAGCTTTTGAATTCGTTTGCTCTTGCTTCTCTGGTTCTTTTAATTGTGATGTTAGGGTGTCAATTTTAGATCTTTCTTGCTTTCTCTTGTGGGCATTTAGTGTTATAAATTTACCTCTACACACTGCTTTAAATGTGTCCCAGAGATGCTGGTACATTGTGTCTTTGTTCTCATTGGTTTCAAAGAACATCTTTATTTCTGCCTTCATTTTGTTATTTACCCAGTAGTCATTCAGGAGCAGGTTGTTCAGTTTCCATGTAGTTGTGTGGTTTTGAGGGAGTTTCTTAATCCTGAGTTCTAATTTGATTGCACTGTGGTCTGAGAGACAGTTTGCTGTGATTTCTGTTCTTTTACATTTGGTGAGGAGTGCTTTACTTCCAACTATGTGGTCAATTTCGGAATAAGTGCGATGTGGTGCTGAGAAGAATGTATATTCTGTTGATTTGGGGTGGAGGGTTCTGTAGATGTCTATTAGGTCTGCTTGGTGCAGAGCTGAGTTCAAGTCCTGGATATCCTTGTTAACCTTCTGTCTTGTTGATCTGTCTAATATTGACAGTAGGGTGTTAAAGTCTCCCATTATTATTGTGTAGGCGTCTAAGTCTCTTTGTAGGTCTCTAAGGACTTGCTTTATGAATCTGGGTGCTCCTGTATCGGGTGCATATATATTTAGGATAGTTAGCTCTTCTTGTTGAGTTGCTCCCTTTACCGTTATGTAATGGCCTTCTTTGTCTCTTTTGATCTTTGTTGGTTTAAAGTCTGTTTTGTCAGAGATTAGGATTGCAACCTCTGCTTTTTTTTTTTTTTCTTTCCCTTTGCTTGGTAGATCTTCCTTCATCTCTTTATTTTGAGCCTATGTGTGTCTCTGTATGTGAGATGGGTCTCCTGAATATAGCACACTGATGGGTCTTGACTCTTTATCCAATTTGCCAGTCTGTGTCTTTTAATTGGGGCATTAAGCTCATTTACATTTAAGGTTAATATTGTTATGTATGAATTTGATCCTGACATTATGATGTTATCTGGTTATTTTGCCAGTTAGTTGATGCAGTTTCTTCATAGCATCAATGGTCTTTACAATTTGGCATGTTTTTGCAGTGGCTGGTACTGGTTGTTCCTTTCCGTGTTTCGTGCTTTCTTCAGGAGCTCTTGTAAGGCAGGCCTGGTGGTGACAAAATCTCTCAGCATTTGCTTTTCTGTAAAGGATTTTATTTCTCCTTGACTGATAAAGCTTAGTTTGGCAAGATATGAAATTCTGGGTTGAAAATTCTTTTCTTTAAGAATGTTGAATATAGTCCCCCACTCTCTTCTGGCCTGTAGAGTTTCTGCCGAGAGATCCACTGTTAGTCTGATGGGCTTCCCTTTGTGGGTAACCTGACCTTTCTCTTTGGCTGCCCTCAACATTTTTTCCTTCATTTCAACCTTGGTGAATCTGACAATTATGTTTCTTGGGGTTGCTCTTCCCAAGGATTATCTTTGTGGTGTTCTCTGTATTTCCTGAATTTGAATGTTGGCCTGCTTTGCTAGGTTGGGGAAGTTCTCCTAGATGATATCCTGAAGAGTGTTTTCCAGTGTGGTTCCATTCTCCCTGTCACTTTCAGGTACGCCAATCAAATGTAGATTTGGTCTTTTCACATAGTCCCATATTTCTTGGAGGCTTTGTTTGTTTCCTTTTACTCTTTTCCCTCTAAACTTTTCTTCTCACTTTATTTCATTAATTTGATCTTCAATCACTGATACCCTTTCTTCCACTTGATCAAATCGGCTACTGAAGCTTGTGCATGCTTCACGTAGTTCTCGTGCCATGGTTTTCAGCTCCATTATGTCATTTAAGCTCTTCTCTACACTGTTTATTCTAGTTAGCCATTTGTCTAATCTTTTTTCAAGGTTTTTAGCTTCCTTGCGATGAATTCGAACATCCTCCTTTAGCTCAGAGAAGTTTGTTATTACTGACCTTCTGAAGCCTATCTGTCATCTCATCAAAGTCATTCTCTATCCAGCTTTGTTCCATTGCTGGCAAGGAGCTGCGATCCTTTGGAGGAGAAGAGGCGCTCTGTTATTTAGAATTTTCAGCTTTTCAGGTTTCTCTCCATTTTTGTGGTTTTATCTACCTTTGGTCTTTGATGTTGGTGACCTACAGATGGGGTTCTGGTGTGGATGTCCTTTTTCTTGATGTTGATGCTATTCCTTTCTGTTTGTTAGTTTTCCTTCTAACAGTCAGGTCCCTCAGCTGCAGGTCTGTTGGAGTTTGCTGGAGGTCCACTCCAGACCTTGTTTGCCTAGGTATCACCAGCGGAGGCTGCAGAACAGGAAATATTGCAGAACAGCAAATATTGCTGCCTGATCCTTCCTCCGGTAGCTTTGTCCCAGAGGGGCACCTGCCTGTACGAGGTGTCAGTCGGCCCCTACTGGGAGGTGTCTCCCAGTTAAGCCACACAGGGCTCAGGGACCCACTTGAGGAAGCAGTCTGTCAGTTCTCAGAGCTCAAACGCTGTGCTGGGAGAACCACTGCTCTCTTCACAGCTGTCAGACAGGGAGGTTTAAGTCTACAGAAGTTTCTGCTGCCTTTTGTTCAGCTATGCCCTGCCCCCAGAGGTGGAGTCAACAGAGAAAGCAGGCCTTGCTGAGCTGCGGTGGACTCTGCCCAGTTCAAGCTTCCCCAGCTGCTTTGTTTACCTACTCAAGCCTCAGCAATGGCGGACGTCCCTCCCCCTGCCAGGCTGCTGCCTCGCAGGTTGATCTCAGACTGCTGTGCTAGCAGTGAGCAAGGCTCTGTGGGCGTGGGACCCTCCAAGCCAGTCATGGGATATAATCTCCTGCTGTGCTGTTTGCTAAGACTGTTGGAAAAGCACAGTATTTAGGCGGGAATGTCCCATTTTTCCAGGTATAGTCTGTCATGGCTTCCCTTGGCTAGGAAAGGAAAATCCCCCAACCCCTTGCGCTTCCCTGGTGAGGCAATGCCCTGCCCTGCTTCGGCTCACCCTCTGTGGGCTGCACCCACTGTCCAACCAGTCCCAATGACATGAGGCAGGTACCTCAGTTGGAAATGCAGAAATCACCCATCTTCTGCAATGATCACATTGGGAACTGCAGACCGGAGCTGTTCCTATTTGGCTATCTTGGAACACACCAACATTCTTGATTTTTTGATCTTTTGTATGAAGTTGAGAATTGGCCAATCACATACTAAGAAAACTCTGGTGAGATTTTGATTTGGATTGCACTGAATTTATGCATCAATTTGGAGGGAGATGCCATCTTTACAAAATGGAGTCCTCTCACCTGTGGACATAGTATATGTCTTTTTTATTTAATTTAGGTATTCATTAATGTTTTTCAATAAAGTTTTATGATTTTCTTTACCAGTCTTGAGTGTCTAGATTTATTTCTAAGTATCTTATAGTTTTGTTGCTACTGTAAATTAAAAATTTTTTTTTTTCCTTAAAAAAAGCCAGCAAGGCATTTATTTTTGTCATATAGAGCTGTTCAAAGGTAAGTATCCAGGATTCGTTGGGCATATTCAATTAATGTTGTTGAGGGTCCAGCCTCCTTAGTCTTTTGTATCATTTCCAACCTCTGACTATTACCCGCTTAGCCACAAGATGGCTCCTCCAGTGCCAGGTATGGGGTCCTGATTCCTGGGAGAAGGGGAGGAAGCAGGGAGCAGAAAGTAGGGAAACCAACCAATTCTTTCTGTTCCCAGTGAATTCTCTTGACTTCTCATTGGCTGAGAGTGTGGGTCACTGCAATCCTCAGTTGCAAGGAAGGCTGGTAGTAGCAACTTAAAAACAAAACAAAACTGGATTTCTATTAGTAAGGAAGAGAGAATGACGATTGGATTGACCGTGAGCGGCCTCTTTGTCTCTGGCAATGCTCTTGAATACAGCCATACTAATTTGGTTGTTATATCTTTTTTCCCCATCCTTTTACTATCTTTCTGTATCTTTGCTTTAGTTGTGTTTTGTGTAACTAGCATATGGATGAGTTTTATAAAAATACAGTCTGTCTATCTGGTTCAAATGGACTATTTTATCCATTTATATTTATTGCAGTTACTCATAAACTTAATTTATAATCATCATCTTTTTTTTGCTTTCTATTTATTTGTCTCACTTTAAAAAATATAGTCATGCTGATCATTTAAGGGTTTAGTTGAAGGTAAATTTCTCCAGCAGAATTTGCATTTGTTTCTGACAGGTGTCAGGGGTCACTACCATCTTGAGAACCTTTAAATTATTTTCTCAGGGTTTGGGGGTTTATCCAAGGAGTGGGAATTCCATCCATAAGTCCATGTTAGGGCCGGCTTGTATTCACGAATCTTCATCTGACTCCTTTCACCAAGAGTTTACTTGTCATCTCCCTCAAAGGAGTGGATTTTTTCCCAAATGTCCTCTGAAAGTGAAGATTTATACTGGGTCCTTCACTGTAACTCTCCAGCTTAAGTGGCTCTAGGCTTCATTTACTGTCTTTCACATAGTTATTAAGTGCAGTTTTGGGTTGCAAGAGGTTGGCAGATGCCCTTAGGGCAGTGTGCAAGAAAGAGTTAACACAGAGGGTCACCCTTTACAAGGTTTTGCTACCCTTGGCTGTCTTCTAGGAATTGGGCTTCTGGAATGTTCCTTGGCTGATAAGGTGGTTTTGTATGCCTGCCTACTAAATTCCAGTCTATCAGCTTGCCTAGACTGTACAATATGATTTCAGGTGGACACCTGCTTTTCCTCTGGGAGTCTGGAATTGCAGTAGCTGTGCAGGTGGAGGGAGTGCCTATGTGGCCAGCTCTCAATAAAAACCCTGGTCTTTGAGTCTTAGGTGGGTTTCCCTGGGCAGAAACACTGCTGTGTTACTGTGTGGCCTCTCACCGTGGGAAGATATAGGAAGCCTGTGCCGGATTCTTCCAGAGTCCGCCTAATGTGTTCTTTCCCCACCTTGTGTATCCTTTTACTATAATATAACTTAGCCATGAACACAACTACATGCTGAGCCCTGTGGGTCCTTCAAGTGGAACACTGAGTATGTGGGTGGTTGTGGGACTGACACAGGCAGATACTGGCTTCTACTCTCTGAATTCTTGCCCCTACTTCTACTATAGGCTTTGATGGCCTCCATCTTTTTCTTGGTTCATAGTCATGAATTTAAAAATACATGATTCATATTTTATCAAGGAGTTTTAGGATTTTTTATGGGGCAATTTGTAAGGGTTTCTATTTTGCCATGTTGTTGGATGTCCTTTCTATGTTGTTGGATGTCCTATCGGTGTTATGTTGTCTACTTAATTTTTTCAAACAGTCACAATAAAAAAAAATCTAATTCTTAAATTGCCAAGCATTCACCTTCTTAAATGTGAGTGGTAGGGAGTGGGCTCAGAGTCTCAGCCCCGTTCATCCTTTATTCCTAGGCTTTTGAACCTATAGCCACAGGATCAGCCTCAAAGAGGTTCTAGCTCCAGGGCCAGCAACTCTAGCCTGAGGCAGGAGGTTGGGGAGCTGTGGGAGGTTTGCCATTGGCTCCTTCTCCACTTCCTCCTCCAGCCAAGAGAAATTCCCTGGAATAACTAAGCGAGAACCTGGGAACAATAACATGAGAGTTTATTATCACATGACTACTCAGGAGGGGACATGAAGCGGAGCAGGATGGGGAAGGGGTGTAAGGAATGGGCAAGTGCTGCTGGAGCAGGGCTGTGGCCACGGTCATGGGGCCAGGATAACTGGGGCTGTTGAAGAGCCTCTTTTCCTCAGTCTGGTTCTTCTTCCAGCAGTCAGATGCAGGGACGCCCGGTGCAGAAGCACCAGGCACTAATAATCAGGAGAGGCATGGCTAGATTCCACTCACTTCCAACATTTCCTTCTGGTCTCTTTTCTAATGGAAGAGGAAAGGCAAGACAATCGTGAGTGGGAGAGAAAGGGCGGAGTCTCTCCTCCAGGGGCAGCTTAGCTCTGGAGCTACCAGAATCAGCAGCATGGTACCTGATCCAAAGGCATAGCATGGATATGGACTTCCCTGGATTCCTGGGCTCTTTGACTTGGGGGCCACTTGGTTGGGGATAGGGGCTTTCTGGGCTGGGCCACCACTGGGTAGAAAGACAGGCATGATAATAGGTGGGACTTGGGTCATGGGCCCCTTTCTCCTCCCCAAACTGTCCACTGTCCATTCCTGTCTCCTTTGAGCAGTTCCACTGCCCCAAATACACAGGCACACACCTTAGGGACTCACCCCTTTGGTTGGGAACATTCTCCAGCAGTACAGCCACAGAGGGGTCAGAGATGCCAGAAGCAGCAGAATCCAGACACCCAAGAGCATGGCCTGAAGGGTTCTGAACAAGGCCTGGGGACAGAGGGCCAAGGCCATAAGCACCAGGATGACAGCTGCCTTCCTGCTCTGTCCCCATGCTCCTTATTGACCTGGGAAAATCTCTACCCCTTTATCTCCAAGTTCGTGGCTTCTGGAGGGGAAGTCAATGCATTCAATGTACAGAATACAGCTGGAAACTGCTCACATTGGGCCTGTGTCCTCATTTGTACAGTGACAGGTTTGGGCTATGATTTGATTCCCTGATAACCTCCAAGACTTCAGAGGATCAAGGGAAAACATGCATTTAACACCTTTGCAGCACTTGGCACACTTGCTATAGTGGTTCATTTATTATTATTTTAATGCTTGTATTTCCCACTTGTCTGTAACACCCTACAGGAGCCATTTCTATTTTGTCTGATGCTTTGTCTTTGGTGACAATACGCAAGCTTGGTGCAGAATAGGTAACACCTATTTCTGGTGGAGAACCTGACTCTTGCCCCTGGCCTGGCCTGGCCATCCCTGCCCCACCTGCTGCTGCCCCTTCCCCTTGGCCACCTACCTTCAGCATGTCCATGAAGGAGGTACATAGGTGTAGCCTTCTGACTTCTTCTGGACTCTGAGTGGGGGCTGGAGTGTTCCAGTCACTCGAGCTGGAGATGCGGCAGGCACTGTTGTAATAAGAGTAGCCATATCGGAAATCTTCATTCCAAAGTTTGAGGGCAGCGATGGCTGTGGAGAAAGCTGCCAGCGTTAGCAGAGTCCTCAGCAGGGCCTGGGGAGGGAGGAGGCAGAGAGAAATCTTTGTGTTTCAGTCTCTCTCAGAGTCCAGTCGGGGGAAAAAAGGGCAAGGCCCAGAGAAGCCTGCAACAGGGCAGGAGATTGGGGTGACCTCCAGCCTGAACCTGGTCCCCTCCCATGCCCTTCCCTGAACTTACCCAGTATGTACCACCCCGTTTCTCGTAAATGAAGGCAGCAGCTCCAGCCAGCACAGCCTGGGGAGAGATTGAGCCAGGAGCAGGCTTAGTACAGGAAATGCAACTCCTCTCCCACGAGAGAGCCTCCATGCAGGCCCTTCCCCAGCACACAGCTTGGGCGGGAGGTTTCATGCTAAGCTTTATTATCCATGGTAAGATAATTGCTGAGAGGGTGGAGCCTGGATCCAACTCCTGAGGCTGCAAAAGGCCCTGCTTTAGTGACACCTAAGAGCTTGTGGTCAAGCCAGGTGTGAGCCCCTCTTCCCTTCTAAACCTTCCTTTTTAAACAACACCAAGTGCTTTATGAAAGTTCTAGGGATGGTGGGATCCTGTGGATAAAAGTCATGGGGTGCTGGAGAAGATCTCAATGAAGGGTGAGTCTATACAGAGTGGGCACTGTTAGGTCTAGAAGCCTGTCCTAACAGTGCCCAATAATCCACTCAGCTGGGCTTGAAGAACAGGAAATCTAGTATGTCCCAGTGGACAGGTGGACCTGAATCCTGTTTGGCTAATTCTGTAATTAAGCTGGGTATTTTGCCACAGGCTGGGTGAAGGTAATTACTCTCGGCTTCTGTCAGTAAATATGAGTGTTTTAGTGCTATTCTGAGAGTGTAGGTACCATGACCAGCCTACCCAGCTCCTGTGCAAACTGCACACACCCATCTGTTGACAACAATTCCTGGGTTTCCATTGTGTACAGGGCCTGTGGAGGACAATGAGAATAACCAGGGGGTGATGCTTCCTGGGGGACCACATACTATCTGGAACGCTCTGCCTTCCCCATCTCAATGCAAGTATCTGGAGATGAGCAGGTCCTTAGATCCTTAGTTGACATTAACTGTTGAAGGCAGGGAGAGGCAGCCAGCCTGGTGGGAACAGCACTGGGAAGGGTATGGGAGAGCAGACAGTGTGAATAGGACATGCCACCACCGCCCTCAGCTGTTTGCTCATCTGAACAGGCAGGGAATGGTCCTAGATAATCAGATCTCTCCGACTGCCAGCATTCTGTGGCGCCATGTTGGAGGAAGGCAATCAGGAGAGCAATGCCCCACCCCTCTCACAGGCAGTCAAGCACTGTCCTGCTCTACTCACCACAGCCCCTGTCCAGATGGCAGCTCCCGAGGTGACGAGGAGGGTGTAGTCGCGGATGTAGAAAAATCCTCCTAGGACTGCACTCAAGATCCCCAGCACGATCTGCATCACCTGAAAGACAAAGGACCCAAGATCCCGGCTCCTAGGTGGACCTGCCACTGCAGGGATTAACCGCTAAAACCCCAAAAAGAGAGGGAGAGGTAGAGAGAGAGAGAAAGAAAGAAGAGAAGAGAAGAGAAGAGAAGAGAAAAGGAGAAGAAAGAGGAGGAGAAGGAGAAAGAAGAAGAGGCAGGAGGAGGAGAAAAGAGAAGGGAAAGGAAGGAGAGGAGAGCCGGCCCATCCTGAGTTTGGCCCAGAGGAAAGGATGGACTCAGGGCTCCACTGATTGGGACTCTGCATGGTCAGTGGCTCCTCCACACCCCTTCAGCCCAGAGCCTCCCCTCCCCAGGCTCTTACTGAGAAGGCCAGAGAATCACATCGCTAAGTAAGAAGACATAACTGGCTCGGTGTCCTGTTCAGAGGGAGGCTGGCAGAGAGTGCTGCTGCGGCTGGAGGTGGGGAGTTCCTCCCGCCGCCCGACGAGGCAGGCCGTCACACTCACCCACGAGGCCACCAGCAGCCGGCTGCTGCCCCTGGCCTGGGTGGCCCGGGGCCGCAGCGCAGAGCAGCAGGTGAGCAGGAGCTTGGCCAGGGCAGACTCCTGGTGGATGTGCACATCGATGTGGGTGTGCTGTGGGGCCTCCGGGGCCATCTCATCACTGTCGGCTGTTCCCATTGTCAGGGACACAGTCTATGAGGAAGGGAGCACCAGAGAGGAACGGCTGTCAGAAGATTTTCGCAGATTTCATTGGAGTTGGGGAGGTCAGGGGCCAGTGGTGGCTCAAAGTCACCCAATGAATGGCTGTCCTGGTCACAGGGCCGCACCCCTGGCCCCTCACGAGGGGAATGTGTGTAGCAGAGGGGGTGCTGACCATGCTGGAACTGCGGCGACTACAGAGCCTGCGGGAACCTCCCCTTTCGCCCAAGATCTGCTCTGTCCCCCTCATCCTCCTCCCAGGGCCCTGGCGTCTGGGTCAAGCAGCGCCCCACACCTCGACCCCTCACCCCCTCCTCCCGGGCTCTTCCTGCGGCCTCCCCTCCACAGTCCGCAGGCTCTGGGACAGGACCGAGTCCTTGGCTGCCTGTGGAGCTCCTGTGCCAGCAGCTGCGCCCCGGCTGCGCTCCGGATACCCCCATCCCCGCCACCGCCGACCTCCCGCTCCACCGACTGCTGCTCACGCCCGACGGGTTCACGCCGCCCCTGCCCCGTGAAGGACCGCGCTGCGGTGCGGAGGTAGGTCAAAAGCCGGGGCCGCACCTGGCTTCCTCTGCAGTCCCCTTCCTGGAGTGTCATCCCTGGGTGGGGGTCCCTCCTACGCTCCTCCAACTGTGCGGAGGCAGCTCGGGGTGCGTGCGGAAGGAGGCCCGGGGGCCGCCGGGAGTGGGGTGCCGCCTCACCTGCGCTCCTCGGGACCTGCGAGCGGGCGGCGGGAGGGCTGGGGCGCTGGCTGGAGAAGTGGGTTGAGAGTTGGAGGGGGAGGCGGGGAGGGGAGGCGGGGGTGGGGCTGAACTTCAGCCCCTCGGGTTCATGACAGGCTGCAGGGCCTGGGGTCCGTCTGGGGTTCTCCTGCTGCGCGAGGGTCACTGGGCTCTGGGGAGCTGGGAGGGTCCGCGGGCGGACGGCCCTGGGAAAGCCCGTGGGGTCGTTCTCGCCTCCAGCCCCGCCCGGCCAGGGCCGGCGTGCAAGTGTGCGCGAGTGGGAGCGCAGGGGGCGCGCGGGGGCTCGGTCTTCTCCCGCCCGGTCCGCTCCTCCGGGCGGAACCCCCTTTGCCGGGCCCCCGGGCCGCAGCTGGTTTCGGGAAACCGCGCAGCCTGGGCGGGGCCGCAGCCCCCACCCGTGCATCTGCCGTCTCCGCCCTCCCGTCGCTCCCCTGCTCGGGGTCAGCTAGTGTCCGCTCTGCTCGGCCGCGGGCTCCCGGAGGACTGCAGGTGAGGCAGGGCCTCCGCGGCCCGGGAGACCCTCTTGCCGCAGGACCCTCTGTCACGAGGAGTCCCCAGGGCCATGCCCCCACCCCGTCCTGTCCACAGGACGTCTTTCTTCCTCCAACCTGGTTTCCAGGAGGACTCACGTAGGAGGGAGGGACAGCTGGGTGCAGGTGTTTCTCCCCAGAAAAACGGCTGGAGAGCGGGAGGAGAGGCCTGGGGCTGGCGCGTCCCGTCCACCTTCTGCCGCCTGCACGCCTGGACCCTGGCTGGAGCCCTACGGTGGGGTGGCTCCTGGGACGGGGCCAGGGAGCGGCGGGGCTGCCGGACGCTTTCCCCAGCCCCGGGGCACGGGAAGAGCTGGACAGAGGAAAGTGTTCGGGGCAGCCGGGAAGAGCCCACCACCTACCAGGCGTCGGGCGGCCCGCAGGGGAATCTCCGTGGTGCCGGCCTGGTTCAGATCCGACTCTTCAGGCGGGGGCGAGGCAGATCTAGGGGTTGGCGTGGGGCGGGGGAAGCGGTGGTCCTGGGGGCCCGGAGGTAGCTGGAACCCGAGGTGCCCTCAGGGCGAGGCCTGGGCCGTCAAGGGAAGGTCTGGCTGGAATCTGGGGCTGGGCTGGAAGCAGTCTGAAGCTCCTTTGTACGTGTGCGGAATTGTCTAACTCCTGTCCTTTCTAACCCCAAGGAGGCCAGGTGGGTGAAAGAGTGAAACTGCTTTGAAAAGTAGGTAGAGTACGAATGGGAGGTGTTATTAGAATTGTTAATAATATTTGATTTAAACTGTGATACTTAGCCAGGATGTCCATTAGAATTGCCTATGCAGGATTTATTTTAGAGCCAGGCAAGCTGATTCTAAAGTGCATGTGAAGAAGTAGTCTAGCAAAAATGGCCATGACAATTCTGAAAGAAAAACCACACGAGGGGATCATGAAACAGCCCAATTAGCATTAAGCTCCATGTTAAAATTGTGGTAATGATGCCTAGCCCATGAGACATGCCAATGGGCAGAATATAAGGACTAGAATAGGCCTACATTCCTAGGGGAACTTCATTTCTGCTCAGGAGAGAATTTTAAATCACTGAGAAAAAGAGGATGTATTTTCCGCAAATGGAACGTATCTTTCAGAAGTTAAACATCTGAATGACAGCAACAGAACTTGGATCCGTGTCTCCCAACGGCGAAGGTTGGTCACCCAGCTCCCAAATTCCAGATGGTCGGCATTTAAAAGTGAAAACTGAAAGCATAAAGGCACTTAGAAGAAAATGTGGAAGATTATTTTATAATCTCGAAACGGGGAAGTCCTTTAAAAGTGTAAGAGCTAGACACCATAAATAGAATGAAATAGAACATGGATTGTATGAATATACAAGCAAGGTCAAAAAATAAACTTCAAATTGTAAAGAAACATTTGAAACTCATATCACAAACGGTAATTTTGTGAATAGATAAAGAACTTCCATAGAAAAAAGCAAAACAAAACAAAACGAAACAAGGACATAGGATGTGAACGGAGAGCTCACAAAAGAAGAAATAAAAATGGCCCTGAACATATGAAAAGACAACCAACCTCACTCATAATAAGAGAACTATGGGCCAGGCGTGGTGGCTCACACCTGTAATTGCAGCACTTTGGGAGGCTGAGGTGGGAGGATTGCTTGAGTCCAGGAGTTTGAGACCACCCTGGGCAACAAAGCAACACCCCATCTCTCTCTCTAAAAAAAGAGAACTGGCCGGGCGCGGTGGCTCACGCCTGTAATCTCAGCACTTTGGGAGGCCGAGGCGGGCGGATCATGAGGTCAGGAGATCGAGACCATCCTGGCTAACACGGTGAAACCCCGTCTCTACTAAAAATACAAAAAATTAGCTGGGCTTGATGGCGGGCGCCTGTAGTTACTCGGGAGGCTGAGGCAGGAGAATGGCGTGAACCCGGGAGGTGGAGCTGGCAGTGAGCCGAGATCGCGCCACCCTAGCCTGGGCGACAGAGCGAGACTCCATCTCAAAAAATGAATAAATAAATAAATACATAATAAAAAAATGAAATAAAAGAAAACCATGGATTAAAAATATATGGAAATCATTACAGAAAGCAGGTCAGTGGTTGCTCATGGCCAGTGGTTGGGGGTATTTTCTGGGGAGGGGCTTTAGGGAATGTATTGCTGTGTAGGAATGTCCTTTATCTTGATTGTAGCTGTAATTGCACAAATGTGTAAATTTGTCAAAACTCGTTGAGATATACATTTAAAATGGGACATTTTTATTACATAAAATTGATTAAAATCAATGCATTTTTCCCCATATAAAAGGAAAAAGATAAAAGAGTTTGCCTCCTGCATGTGAATTGCTACCACCTCCGTGGAGGATAACTGACAATATCTACTAAAATTGCAAATGCGCATTCCTGGTGCCCTGCCAATTCCACATTGTCTGTAATGGAAAAGGATTAGAAATAACCTAAATGTCTGCCAATAGGGAACCACTTAAATAAATTATGAGGAATTCATACTCTCAAAATATATGCAGTTACACAAATGAGTGAAGAAGCTTTTGTGAAAGTTGTCAGAATCATAATCGAGTCACTTGAGTTAAAAAAAAAATCTGAAAATGGAAGGCCCACAAGGCAGGGTTCTCATGCGTAAATAACCTGGGAACAAAAGTCATCACAAAGGACTCTGTAAAATGACAACCTTACACAAAAAAATACTTCTGTGAGGACATCCACCAGCAACTGCCTGTCTAACCCTGGACTTGTGTCACCCTTGTTATTGATCCTTGTAGCCAAGGATGATCACCTCAAAGAGATTATGTAAGTCTCCCCATTTTTCCTTTAAAAACCTTTGTCTTCCTTTACCTCCCTGAACGTGCACATGATTTACTATGGTAAGCATATTCTCATTGCAATGCCCTATTCCAGAATCAATCTCATTTTCTTTTGGAGAGCCTCTCTCTGTTATTTAGGTTGACACTTTTTATGGACTCATGTAGGATTATTCTAAAAACATATGATCGTGTGATCACAGCATCATGCAAATCAGTGTGTATAGTATGCTGCTATTTGTGGGAAAAGGGGGCAGAAATACTTTTTCACACTTTTGTATGCAAAAATGTCATGGTAGGATTTATAAGAGACTGATAATATTACTTTGCATCTGCAAGGCAAATAGGTGGTTGAGGGAAAAAGATGAGCGATAAGGTTTTAAAGGTATATATACCCTTTTGTATCTCTTAACTTTTTTATGTGTAAAATCACTATTGATTTCCAGTGCCATTGATATCTGCACTGGGAAGCCCCTTTGAATTTTGACAAAGACACTGTTTTTTGTTTGTTTGTTTGTTTGTTTTTGTTTTTTTTGAGATGGAGTCTCACTCTGTTGCCCAGGCTGGAGTGCAGTGGCAAGATCTGAGCTCACTGCAACCTCAGCCTCCCAGGTTGAAGTGATTCTCCTGCCTCAGCCTCCTGAGTAGCTGGGACTACAGGTGCACACCACCGTGCGGATTTTTGTATTTTTAGTAGAGAGGGAGTTTTGCCACATTGGCCAGGCTGGTCTTGAACTCCTGACCTCAGGTAATCCACCCACCTCAGCCTCCCAAAGCACTGGGATTACAGGCGTGAGCTATTGTGCCCAGCTGGGATCTTGACAAAGACACTATTTCTCTCCTTTCACCTGTGCTGTGTATTTTTCCCTCGCCTAGTTCCCAGACCTCACTGCTATATGTCTTCTCCCTGGCAGGCAGGATGACGCAAAACACGGTGATTGTGAATGGAGTTGCTATGGCCTCTAGGCCATCCCAGCCCACCCACGTCAACGTCCACATCCACCAGGAGTCAGCTTTGACACAACTGCTGAAAGCTGGAGGTTCTCTGAAGAAGTTTCTTTTTCACCCTGGGGACACTGTGCCTTCCACAGCCAGGATTGGTTATGAGCAGCTGGCTCTAGGGGTAAGACTGGGGTGGTGCGGGGTTGGGGGGCACGTTAACGAGGTGATGAGGTCAATTAAAATATAGAGCCAAATCTTCAAAATTAAAACGTTTTATTTGGGAGGAGAGAATTGCAATTTGGGGCATACACACAGACCAGGTGGTCTCCAGTATGTCTTTAGAACAAAGAGAAGGTTAGAGGCTTATAAAAAGGAGAAATGTTACATATTGCCCTTCATGAAAGATCATAGGTTTTGGGGAGCTGGTGAGCTCTGATGGGTGAGCGATGGCATGAGTAAAACTAATCCTAGAGTTGTAGCAAGGTCAGAAGCTGTAGATAAAGCTGGTTTCAGGTTGCAGCAGGCAGCTTCAGCAGCCTGATTTGTAGAGAATTACATTTTGGGAGCAACATTTTGTGCCCCGAGTGCTTTTTGCCCCTGGCCTCTCGACTCTGTTTTAGTTGAGTGTGACAAGAATGACCCCATTTGTAGGCTCAGCTTTCACAGTGGAAACTCTCCTTCTTCAATAGGATGCAAAAGAGGAAAGTGGGTTGAATTCCCATGAGAGGGACATGAGAAATCACTATTTATATCTCATTCTGTGTAGGAAAAAGTTGTAAGTGTCCCCACAGAAATTTGGATGGAAAGGAAGAATCGACCTCCTCTTTGGCACAGAGGAGTCGGTCCCAGCCAGAGGTAGGGCAACAGGAAGAACAGTCTAGAGGCTGTTAATTCGGTTTTATTGACCCCACATGGACTGAAAGCCTACAGGTGCAAGGCAATGTGTTCAGCACTTCAGGCCAAGCTACAGAGAGAATCCCTGGGCTATATCTAAAAGTACTCAGTGACCATCAGAAGGAACAGCAGCTACACTAATGACTGGAACTAAAGGTAGATCAGGTGAGGGAGAAGCACATCTGACATCCTTGAGGGCAGGAGAACCCTGAATGGAGAAGGAATAGGTATAGACAGAGGTGGAAGATGGACAAAAAAGAATTCCAGGTTAAAGAATGGCAGGAGCAAAGGCAAAGAGGCCAGAAGGCATAGGGCAAGTTCTATAATGGTTAAGAGTAAAGGGAATGGGCTTCATGAATGGGTGATTTGGGCCCATATTGCTGAGAGCCTTGAACGACCAGGTGAGGAGTCTGTCCTGAATCAGCTTTGACAGTGAGAACGCTGTCAATGGATTCTGAGCAGGAACCTGCCTCAGAGTCAGGAGGCATCCAGGTGAGAAGGATCGAGGATCTGCACTCACATAATCATAGCAGAAATGGTGAGGAGACAAAGGAGTCCCTGTCCTTCACAGACCTCCATGGCATGGGAGTGAAGGGGTTTGGGGCATAAGGAAAGAGAGGCATTCACAGCATGCAGAGAGGGTTGAAGTGTGGGTGACCAGGAGATCGGAGCCCTGAAAGTCAGGAGGAGCAGCCATTCGAGAGGTGTGTGTGTGTGTGTGTGTGTGTGTGTGTGTGTGTGTGTGGTAGTAGGGGATTTGGATGTGACAAATCCGAGATGCTGGTAGGATGTGGAGGTGGTGACAGTTGGGTTTTCCAGGAAGAAGAGGAGTTCTCTTCTGAGTCGGAGTTGGGTGTGTGAACGGCTTATTGGGGTATGACACCTATGAAATGAAAAGAGGGGGAGCAGGATTGAGCAGGAGGAACCATCAGGCTGCAATGCAGACTCTGCCAGGCCAGTGGGGGAGCTCCCAGGCAAAGGTTGCCCACTGCAGGAGTTCCACACTGGGTGGAGATGGCCCTTGAGCCACTGTCTTGCTTAATCATTGGCTGGGGGGCCCTCCTCAGTGTGTGTCTTCAGCTTGAAAAATTAGGGTGACCCTGAAGGAGCTGACAACTGCAGGCTGTCAGCAATCAAACAAGCCCTTTCTTGAAGGAGGTCTCAGCGGCACTTCTTTGTGTCTGCCACAGAGCCCTCAAGAGTGTGTGTTTGGATCTGAAGAGAAAGGATAGGCCAGAAGCTCAGGTCAGGCTGGGGGTTTGGATGGGACAATGGGACCTCTGAAGGAGAATGGGGGGGGAAAAGTGGGAATCTTCAGGTGGGATGAGAAAGTGTTGAAGTTGGGAAAAATTGATGAAGGATAAATAGCCAAGCCTATGAGAAGGGTGAGGGGAGACCCAGGCCAGTGCTGCTTCATGGATTTTAAGGGGACAGAATCTTCCAGAATCAGAGCTGCAGAGAGGTCAAGGCAGAGGAAAAGGAGAGGAGAGCCACCTAGGTAGGAGCCAGGCAGCTGGTCCCAGGGCAGCCGGGGCATGTGGACTCACGGGAAGGGGTCTGGTTTCTCATCCTGTCTTGCAGGTGACTCAGATATTGCTGGGGGTTGTGAGTTGTGTTCTTGGAGTGTGTCTCAGCTTGGGGCCCTGGACTGTGCTGAGTGCCTCAGGCTGTGCCTTCTGGGCGGGGTCTGTGGTGAGTAAGGAACAGGCTGTGAGCCTGGAGGGAGGCAAGTGGTGATGGGCAAGAAGGCGCTTATGGATCTTGGTTGGGGCTTTGGGGAAGCGACCAAAGTCTCTGGAGCCAAATGGCCTTTGGCCATGAGGAGGCTGCTCTGGGGTGTAGCTAAAACCCTGTCACTTCCATTTTTCTCTTGAAGACAGATGGGAGGGGTGGGGCAGGTATAGGTGGAATCCTGGTCTGTGTGTCAGAGTTCTTTGTCTGTCCCTGGGATCCTGCTTCACATTGGCTATTCTGGGAACTGCTGGTGGGAGGGTGATGATAGACCAATTCAGAAGAGTAAACTGGAGGCCTTTTTCTGGTGTCTCTTTTCAGGTGATCGCAGCAGGAGCTGGGGCCATTGTCCATGAGAAGCACCCGGGCAAACTTGCTGTGAGTCTTGGACACCCTCTCTCCACCTTGTTCACTGACCCCCTCCTGAATTCTGCTCCATTATCTGTCTTCTGCCCTTTGGTTGTCAATATCTTGGGGTCTTTCTTGGAGGGGAGGAGAGGGTTTCCTGGACAAGGGCTGGGGAAGAGGAGAGGGATTTGAGGCGGGGACCTCATGACTCTTCCACCGATTGAAGGAGCGTGTGTCATGACCCTCTTTCTCTTCCAGGGCTATATATCCAGCCTGCTCACCCTGGCAGGCTTTGCTACAGCTATGGCTGCTGTTGTCCTCTGCGTGAATAGCTTCATCTGGCAAACTGAACCCTTTTTATACATCGACACTGTGTGTGATCGCTCAGACCCTGTCTTCCCTACCACTGGGTACAGATGGATGCGGCGAAGTCAAGAGAACCAATGGCAGAAGGAGGAGTGTAGAGCTTACATGCAGATGCTGAGGGTGAGCAGGAAGAGTCCAGTCTTCGGGGACCCATCACAGCTCTTTTTTCCCAGGGAGCTGGGGGCCCTGGAGGACAGAGATGTAGGCTCTTTGAGCTTGGACTTCATGCTGGGTCTTTCATTCAGGAGGTTTTAATGTAAGCTACAGACATTTTTCAGACCTCATGACACGAAGATTCTCTGAATCAAGGAGGGTGAGGAACAAAGAGGAGACATTTCAGAGAGGAGATAGTGGGTCACCCTTCTGGCTTTTCTGGTGTGTTGGTATCACAGTTTTCCATTACTGAATTAAAAACCACACCAAAATGTAGTGGCTTAAAATGACAACTTATTATTTCTCACGGTGCTGTGAGTTGGCTGGATTCAGATGAGCCATTCTCACTCACGGGTTTTCTCATGCAGTTACAGTCAGATGGGGGTGAAGTTATCCAAGTGCTCGCCGAGGCTGGAGGTCTGAGATGATGTAGTTGCATGGTCCGGAGCTCAGCGGGGGCTGTCAGCAAGAGCCGGCAATGGCTTCTCCACTTGGCTTGGGCTTCTCATAGCACAGAAACTGGATTCCAATGGGGAGTACCCTAGTTGCAAGCATTTCAGGAGACAGAAAGTAGAAGCTGCCAGACCAGCTAAGGGCTTCCCTGTCACTGTATAGTGTCACTTTCACTGTGGCCAAAGCAGTTCTAGGCCCTTCCAGATTCTACGGGTTGAAGGAATAGTCTCCACTTCTTGACAGGGAGTGATAAGTTCACTCTGCAGACAAGCCAACGGGATGGAAGCTGTGGCTGGAAACACAGTCAGCTGTGGTGGGAGCAGCAAGCTGGATAGAGTCAGTGCCTGGGTGGGTGGAGAGGGTGGTGATGTGGGCAGCATTGGAGTAGCTGACACCTGACTATCTTTGTTCTTCCCTTATCTCCAGAAGTTGTTCACAGCAATCCGTGCCCTGTTCCTGGCTGTCTGTGTCTTGAAGGTCATTGTGTCCTTGGTTTCCTTGGGAGTAGGTCTTCGAAACTTGTGTGGCCAGAGCTCCCAGCCCCTGGTGAGTTGTCGGGGAGGGGCCTCTGGGCAGCGTGAGTCTGGGTGGTGAGTGTGTGGGACAGGTAGGAGTGCGGGGCCAGGGGCACCCGAACCTGAGGCTGGGCCTGGTGCCCCTCAGCTTCTTTCCATATGCAGCTCTCCCCTTTGCTGTCTGGGGAATGTGGCCATCACCATGGTCCTGGGCCAACTGTCGCCGCCCTGTGCCTCTCTGCGCCCTCCTCTGCTCTGATCTCCCCACTCTCCCCTCTGCCCTGTCCCAGGTGTTCGTCTGACTCCCCTTCCTCTGCCACCTTGTTTTTTTTTTGCCTGATCTGCTTTTCCTGTCACCTTTTCCTTTCCCTCCTCCTTTCCTCTTTCTGCTTTCTGAGTTCTATGATACTAACTCTGCCTGCATCCTTTTCCCCTAAGGATTTCTTTTTTCTTTTTTTTCCAGAATGAGGAAGGATCAGAGAAGAGGCTACTGGGGGAGAATTCAGTGCCCCCTTCGCCCTCTAGGGAGCAGACCTCCACTGCCATTGTCCTGTGAGCTGCCAAAGACCCCACGGGGTGCCCGCATGTCCCTGTCTAGGGCAGCCCAGGGCCCCCACTCCTGGCTCCTCACACTTGCCTCCCCTATGGCCGCTCTCCAGACCCTCCTCCTTTCTTCTCCCCACATCCGCACCTGCTGTTCCCACTCTGGGGTTCTCAAGTCCATGAACAGATATTGTTGCATTTTCCACAATGCTGATTAAACATAATAAACAATCCAGAAAAGCAGTTTTGCCCAGAAAGATATGGTTTCCCTTTGTTTATACACCTCGTGCGCCATGAAAGGCCTTTCTTTGTGTCGCTATGTATGAGGTTAAATGGGAGCTGATTTATCCCATTAAAACACTGTCCCAAGAAGATTAAATTTAATTATGTTCTGCTGTACATCCAGGTGGCAAAACCCCTTTTTATGATTTTCTTCAATTCAGTGTAAAGTGTAAGTCTAGTGGGCCTAGAATCTTCTTACCTGCTGAGATTGTCTAGGCTCCTACAACCTCGGCCTGTAGACTTAAGAGAACTGTGTGGAGCATGGAATGAGATTTTTGCCCCCTCCCTCCCTGTCTTCCTTCCTTTCTCTTTTTTCGTTTTGCAGTAATTAGTGTTGGTTCTGTCTCTTTTCCTGTCTCCACACACACATAAACACATCCTTAGTCTTCCTTCCTTTCATTGTAAATGATAGCAAACTGATTTTGACTTTTTCCATTTTCTTTATATATGAAGATATAACATAAATATATAGATGTAAGCATTTCTGAAGGGCAGGAAAGCTGGTAGGGGCTTTATGAAATCTCCATGAGGCCAGTTTCATGACTTAGCAGCCCCACAGGGCTGGTCTTCAGATCCAAGGCGATGGGCTGCAGGGCCTGCACCTTCCCTCTTGGCAGAGCGGTGCCACAGAGGTGCAGAGCTGCTGCGCTGGGCAAGACCTGCTCCTGCACAGGACTTGGAGTAGGGGCCTGTGCCGAGGGCGGTGCTGCTCTTCCTGGGGCCCTCACCAGCCTGTGCTTTACATAGAGGCTTGTAAAGAAGCCTGCGAGACAGGAGTGTGTTCAGAATATGGACAGGGTCAGCCGATTACAGCCTGAGGGGTAAATCCAGCCTGCCATTGAATTTTGTAAATAAAAATGTATCTAAACACAACCACACCCATTTCTTTACACATTGTACCTGTTTTTGTGCCACAAGGGCAGAGTTGAGGAGTCTTAACAGAGACTGAATGGCCCACAAAGCATAAAATATTTACTATTAGGCTTTTTACACACAAAGCTTGCTGGCCCCGATGTAGGAGCTTGCAGTGTAGAATGTTACGTTCTGTTTCGCTGTTGAGGGGTGTGGAGTGCTCAAGAATCCCTTCCAAGGGGAGCCAGCCTTGGATGAGCAGCGGGTGTGTAGCCAGCTGGTTTCCTCATTTCCCAGGGTCCAGAGCCCACAAATCATCAGGCAGAAAAACTTGGACTCAGAACCATTGCAGTCCCCATCCCTCCCTCAGTCCCCAGTAAAGAAGACATTAGAATCTCAGAGGAATTTAGAATCTCCTGAACCTCAACATTTATTTTACTGCCAGTGATGGAGTAATGGAAGCCCCCAATTCTTTGCTAAACAGGCAAATGTAAAGTAGCTAAGCCCAGAAGCCAAGCTGGGTTGAAATGGATAGTGTGGAAAGAGACCCATTAGCAGGGCAAGAACCTATGGGGCCTCACTTAGCCAGGCTTCAGGGAATGCTTAACCCATCAAAAAATGCGGATGGCTGCCTTTCCCCGTGTCTCATGTTTCCACACATCTTGTGAGCAGTGGCACTGACTGCCTTTTCAAAGATGTTCTCACCTCCTAATGGGCAGCCTTGGAAAATAGTGTCTTCTTCTGGACCAAAGGACAGGCATGATCACCTGTTATAAAAGAATCAGATTCCTTAAGCTCAGGGTTCCTTTTCTAGAACCCAGCCCACCGGCTGTGCTGGTGTCACCTGCAATGCCTCTTTGCATTGTCTGTGGGAACTGGGGTCCTAGAACCCACGCAAAAATGCTGCTACCGTGGCCACTGCTATTGCCGTGTGTAATAAATTGTTTTTTGTCATAACTCGGGGTTTTGTGGCTTCTACCAGCATCCATGAAACTGTGGCAGACTGACTTGTTGACCTGCATGTACAGTTAGATCTCAGACCCTTCACCGTTCCCGACTACCATGTCCTGCTGTGTGCAGGGTTATGATACACACAGACTTAAGACAGAGCTTCTGACACCAAGAAGTTTACAGTCTGCTTAAGAGGTGAGGCATAAACCCTTTACTACAAAGAACAAATGTTACTTGACTGCCAAGTTAGCGATGCAGCAGGCAGGAAGGTGGTGTGCTTGCTGAAGAACTGTAGGAAGACAAGGAACATGAGAAAGGAGAATGCAAAGTAGCAGACACTCAGGGGCAGAGCACCCTGAGCTTGCCGTTGCTCATGTCGTGAACAGCCATGAGAACGCAGAGTGCGCAGGGCTGCTCAGACCTCAGTGTCCATGGGCACATTTGATAGGACTGAGTTACTTGCCCACTCACCACCCTGACTCCAAGGAACTTTGGCCAAAGTTGGGCAGGGGGGTTGTCTTTTAGTTGTCACAGATGTTGATATTCAGAACTCCATCTGCAAAGATCTCAATCTATACTGCAGCATGGACAGAGGGCTGGTCCTCAAGCCTGGAGAGTACCAGAGTCCTTGAGGCAGGAAGGAAACCTTTTTTGCTTCTGGGGTAGGGTGGGAGGTGGTGGGCGTGAGAGGCTGAATTTTTGTCCCCTCCAAATTTATATGTTGAAGCCCTCACCCCTAGTAGCTCAGGATGTGACTGTATTTGGAGACAGTGTCTTGAAAGAGGTAATTAAGTTAAAATGAGATCATTGTGGTGGGCCCTCATCCAATATGTCTGATGTCATATTAGAGGCAATCAGAATGCCGACAGGCCCAGAGGGAAGGCCACCTGAGGACACAGGGAGAAGACGGCATCTACTAGCCAAGGAGAGCCTCAGAGGAACTCCGCTGGTGCCAAATCTTGGACTTTGGCCTTCCAGAACTGAGAGAAAAGAAATTTCTCCTGTTTAAGCCCCTCAGTCGGTGTTTTGTTACGGCAGCCCTAGCAAACTCAGACACTGGGAGACGGGAGACAGCTTGGGACAGCCTGAGAGGGGGATCAGGTGTGCCCCAGCACTGCGTTTTCAAAATCCCTTCCTTGTTTACTATTGAGGAGCCCTTTGTGCAGCCCTCCGGGTTCCCCATAAAGGGGTGCCTCTCATGGTGTGGGACCACACCTGCCTTTGCCACAGCTGAAAGCTGCAGTTCCCAGGAGCTGGTGTTCCTGGCATATCACCCTGAGGTCTCATCACATCCTCAGGCCACCATCGCCCTCTGTTGCCTGGTCCCACCAGCCTCTCCTCTCCCTCCACATCTGACTCCTCAGGGTCTCCAGGACAGCTCCCCACTCCCTAAGTGCCGCCTGAGGGGCACCCCACCCCCTTTGTCTTCACAACATCTCTTCTAGCATAATCTCTATAATCACAGGCATTTCTAGCACAGTCTCCTCTAGTATAATTTCCAGTAAATCTCCTAGGCTTTTCTGGTATAATCTCTTCCGGGAGCTCAGACGTTAACAAGCCAGAAAGAGCAGCTTCTGCTTTCTGCTTTGGATATCAGCCAAAACTGTCTGAGGCCGAGAGAGGCTTCTGAAATGTCCTTCTATCAAGGGCCCAGCTATATGGTCAAAAAGAGGAAGTAGAAATACTTGGAAATCTGGGGCCACTTAAGTCTGTTCGTTATCTTGTCCTGATGACCTTGGGTGCTGACATTTGCAGCTCCTGCTGAATGTCCTCTCTGCCCTAAAGCAAGGCCCTGCCACTCTGTTCTGGGACCTTTTCTTTCTGTTTCCACGTAAGGCAGATGACTCTGCTACCCCAGAGTGGGGCTTTGCAGGAGCTGCCCTGTTTCAAACTGGGCATGTCTGTTCCTTGGGATGTGTCACTGGAGCAGAATGAGGTGAAGGAGGGAGAGCCTGGCCAGGGATAATGAAGGAGCAGTAGAAACTCTACTCTGTTCTCTATAATCATGAGGGCTTTGGGGGCAGAGCACGGGATTCTCTGTGCAGGTCACACTCCCCATGGGATGGCACAGTGCTGACCTGTTGGCACTAGCAGAGCAGGTGGCATGCGGACACACCTGGTCCAGACTGGAGGCGAGGGAAGATGTCACAGTTTCTCGGCTCATAATCCTGAGCTTCTCCATGGGCTGGAGGAAGGTGGGAGCTATGTTTTTCTTGTATTCAGCCTTCTACGGGTTATTAATAAATATTCAGTCAATAAGCAACAAAAAAATTTTTTTTTTTAGAGACTAGGGGGTAAAGGTTGATTTTTTTTTTCACTTCTATATTCTGTAAAAGAAAAATTTTGGCAGCCAGTGGGTGGTCTCAATTCTTGCTGCTCAAGGTGTGATCCACTGGCCTGCATGGGCAACCCTGGGAACTGGCTAGAGATGCAAAATCTCCTCCACGCCAGACCAGCCAAGTCAGAACCTGCATTTTCACAAGGTCCCAGGCACTATATGTGCTTCGTACATTTCGAGGGGCATGGGTATGAATATTACAGTTAGGTGGTTTGCAGGAAAGAATTCAGATACAGAACAGGGCTCTGAATTTAATCTCTTTGTTTTCATTCTTTTCATGAACTTGTTAACCTTGGAGTTTTACAAAATAATTCTAGTGGTGGCTGGACGCGGTAGCTCACACCTGTAATCCTAGCACTTTGGGAGGCCAAGGCGAGCGGATCATGAGGTCAAGATATAGAGACCATCCTGGCTAACATGGTGAAACCCCGTCTGTAGTAAAAATACAAAAATTAGCTGGGCATGGTGGTGCTCACCTGTAGTCCCAGCTACTCGGGAGGCTGAGACAGGAGAATCGCTTGAACCTGGGAGGCAGAGTTTGCAGTGAGCTGAGATCATGCCATTGCACTCCAGCCTGGGCGACAGAGTGAGACTCCATCCCCTACACCCCCTGCCAAAAAAAAAAAAAAAACTCTAGTGGTTTTGAAATACTGAAATTAAAAGTAAAAAGTGGTCTCTTTCCTTAGCTGAAGATAGTATTAATTCCTGTACTTCAGTGTCTCTAAGTTAGTCCTTTTATGGCTAGATCCAGTAGCAATTCTTTTCCTTTTTTTACTCTGGTAGACAAATGTCAACTTGGTGGTTTTCTTTTTTCTTTTTCTTTGTTCCCCCTGGGTTGTTGTTGCACAAAATGGCCCCTTTCTGCCGGGCAACTTCTGTATTTTTCCCCTGGAGTTTCCAAGCCTCTGAGTGAAGATGGTCTCCCCTCTATCTGATCCCTCTCCCGGCCCCACTTCCTCTATTCCTGTCTCTCCTTCCCATCCTTTCCCCTCTCCCCTCCTGTGAATAGCCTTAGAAGTCTGAATCTTTGTGCTCTGTAGAAAGTCAGATGTGACACTCCTTCTTTCTGCTTCTGTTTACTTGGAAAAGCTGACAGCTATTTGTCTCTTTGCACAGCTCAGTCTTGGTGGTAAAACTGCACAGACACAGATGGGCATGACTTCACGGCCCTGGCACGAGGGCATGCAGATAATCTCAAGCCTATTTGTGTGCAACATATTTATTGAAGGATTTAAAACCATTCAGAGTATAAACAGGAAATGATTCTTCTTCTTTTTTTGTTTTCTAGTCACTTCTTTTAACTGTATTTTGTCAACTCACTCATTCCCCATTGGATCTTGGGTTCTTTAACATCAGGACCAGATTCTAGATTTCACAACTCTGTCATTGCCCAATCCTTTTCGTGTTAAAAACTGCAGCTATCGGCTGGGTGCAGTGGCTCAAGCCTGTAATCCCAGCACTTTGGGAGGCCGAGGCGGACGGATCACAAGGTCAGGAGATCGAGACCATCCTGGCTAACACGGTGAAACCCCATCTCTACTAAAAATACAAAAAAATTCGCCAGGCCTGGCGGCATATGCCTGTAGTCCCAGATCCTTGGGAGGCTAAGGCAGGAGAATGGTTTGAACCTGGGAGGTGGAGGTTGCAGTGAGCTGAGATCGCGCCACTGCACTCCAGCCTGGGCGACAGAGCGAGACTCCATCTCAAAAACAAAACAAAATAAAACAAAACAAAACAAAACAAAACAAAACAACACAACACAACTGCAGTTATCGGATCATGGTTTGCCTGTCTCCCAGAGGAGACTCAGATTGCTGGACGGGGAGGAGCTGGGGAGGGAAGTGTGGTCAGGGCTGACTCCTCTTCCCTGCTGCTTTCCCACTGCTCTTCTCACCCCACTCCAGCTGAGACAAGGAAGAGGGATGCAGGGCAAGGTTTCCAGAAGTGACTGGCCGCAGGAAAGTTGCAGAGGGAGTAGTGTCTGGGCTTCGCATTCACAGCCTTTGCTCATGTGATGTGGGTGATGGGTGGTGTCTAATTCTGTTGCTCAGTGTGGGAGGCACTTGGGAATTACCCTGCCCTCTGCTACCTTAGCTGCCTGGGTCAACCAGGAAAACCTCCTGGAAAAGTATTTCTAGAGGAGGAGGATATGAAATGGCAGAAAGGAGAGGATTTTCTTGTACTGGGAAAATTCTTTTGACCACCTCTTGCCTCTGCAAAAACCCAGAGTCTGCTTTTACAGATATTTCTAACTCTAAAGAAATCTTTAGGGTTCTCTAGCGGATGGCATGAGGCCCTGTGGTGTCAAACTTCACAGAGAAAGCCTGGAGCCTCAGATCCAAAGAAGCACTCACACAAAAAGTTGCAACAAAATATTAGGAAAACTGCCAAATGTACAAAAAAATCCCCTCCTGAAGTAGGAATTCACTTTCACTAGGTGCTGCTGTGAACTTCAGGATTTATCTCATTTACCTCCCTCCCCTGACTCCTCACTTTCTTACTGGTTTAATCTATTCCTCCTGTTTCACCCCTAAAAACGAGGTTTGTTCACTTGCCAAGTAACAAACAACTTTTAGCGGGAACTCAGGTTTTCATTAATGGGAGGCCTTGTACTTCGTACAAGTGAGGAGAGCACTGAGGGTATTCTCCAAAGCCATGCCTCCCCGACAGAAAGTGACAGGAGGGCTTATGGGGCCGTGGAGAGGGTGCGTCATCGTCATCACATGCAGAGGATTCTCAGCTGCACTCAGCGAGTCCTCATGCCAGCATATAGGTGGTGTACAATGAACAGGAAACTGTAACTTCCCCGGGTGGAGGTTTTAGTGTGGGCATGAGCAAAGTCCACTCAGGTTCATCTCCTTTTTTTTTTTTTTTTTTAAAGAGACAGAGTCTCACTCTATTGCCCAGGCTGGAGTGCAGTGGTGTAATCATAGCTCACCACAGCCTTGAATTCCTGGACTGAAGTGGTCCTTTCACCTTAACTTCCCAAAGTCCTGGGATTATAGGCATAAGCCATCATACCTGGCCCCGCAACTGATTTTTGAATGTTGATTCTGTATCCTGCAACTTTGCTGAATTTACTTATTAGTTCAAACAGATTATTAGTTCAAACAGATTTTTTGTGTGTGTGTGTCTGAGTTTGAAATCTTTAGGGTTTTCTACCTATAAAATCATGTTGTCTGAGAACAGAGATACTTCTGCTTCTTCCTTTCTAGCTTGGATGCCTTTTATTTATGTTTCTTGCCTACTTGCTCCGGCTAGAACTTCCAGTACTACATGGAATAGAAATGGCAAGAATAAGCCTCCTCATCTCATTTCAGATATGAGCAAAAAGGCTTTCAGTCTTTCACCGTTGGTGTTAGCTGTGGGATTTTTATATAAAAATATTTTATTTAATTATATGTTTTGTGATTTAAAAAAAAATTTTGACCTCATGTTTGTTGGAACTTTATCTGTGGGATATATTTGAAACCTAGGTTGATGAATGTACTTTTTTCAGAGAAGATTTTAGTTTGTTTCTGCCAGAAACCTGGGATCACTATAAGTTTGGGATTTAAAAAATTCCCAGATTGAGATTTTTTGGTATCATAAGTTGAGGCTATAAATTCTACATATTTTTCAAAAGATTTCTAGTGGATTAAGCCCATAGTGCACATGCTCTTTTTTTCTCCTTTTCTTTCTCACTCTCCTAACTCTCTCACTTGTGATCTCCAGGATCCAAAATAAATTATGTGTATCCACATCCTTGCCATAGTCTGCTTTGGGGAAATCTAAACTAAGGCAGGCCTCAAATCTACATGTGAGCTATAATGCCGACAGTTTCTCAGGAGAGTCTTTCCTTTCTATCCAGAACCAAGGTAGTGCCCTTGCCGCAGTTTGTTATGGGCAAAATTCTTTTGGGTTTATTTTTCTCTTGAAAATATAATTTTTTTTTTTTTGAGACAGAGTCTCACTCTGTCACCCAGGCTGGAGTATGGCCCACTGCAATCGCACCTCCCAGGTTCAAGTGATTCTCCTGCCTCAGCCTCCCGAGTAGCTGGGATTACAGGTGCCCACTACCACACCCGGCTAATTTTTGTATTTTTAGTAGAGACGGGATTTCACCATGTTGGCCAGGCTGATCTCAAACTCCTGACCTCAAGTGATCCGCCCGCCTCAGCCTCCCAAAGTGCTGGGATTACAGGCGTGAGCCACCGTGCCCAGCCAGAAAATAGAATAATTTGAACATCCTGGTTTCATATAAGCACCTAAATCTGTTTTCCACCTGTGTTGGCACTCAGTTTTTCTTCTGTCCTCTATGTAGCCATGAAAACTCAAGTTTTTAACAAGTTAACAGAAATTGACAGTTGCTCTGAATGAATTTACAAAAATTTAAAATAACTATTTGTGTCCAGAATTTTCTGCTTTTTTGTAGTGAGTATTTTTTAAGGCTTTTGGGCTACTGCATTGCTAAAAAATGAATACTTGAGTTACATTAGATCTTATTGATTTCTAATTTAATGACATTATTATGTTTTAGATGATTTAGGCCTCCAGACTTCCATATTTTTAGATATGGAAGCCCAAGTCTGTCTTGAAAGTAACAGCTCTGGTGGCTGGCTGTTTTCTTCTTCACCAAACATGTTCTCAGTCAGGACAGAAAACTGCCAAGCCTGGCGCTTCTGGAACTTCATCCTACTGTCTAGTCTTTTGTGCCCTCATCACATGCCTGTTCCTGAAGCCCAGGAACAGAGAGAAGCTCCTCTGGATCAGGTTCGTGAGCCTGGGGAGCAGCATCTTATGATTTTGTTTCACTCATTTGCTGATCTCTTCCGCAGCCCAGAAAATTTCCTTGTGAAGTTAACAAAATCTGGGAGGCTGCATTCAGAAAAGATGACATGCACACTGGCTGGTGGTTGTGGAGATGAGGATGGGAGGGTGCATGAGTGGCTTCAATGGGTTAGTGAGTCAGAGAAGGGTCTGTATGGTCACTGACGTGGGGCTACTTGAGATGTCCAGGGGGCCTCCCACATCCTAACCCTGAACCAGTTGTATGTCAGTGTTTGTGGTCCTAGGAGTCAGATGCAGGGACATGTGGCCATGCTGAGGCTGCAGGAGCCAGGAACCCCAGGAGATGGGCCTTGCCCTTCTTCAGCAAAGGTAGGGCTAGATGCCTCTTGTTACAGTTCCTTCTAGAGCATTTTGTAACTGGGAATGTGTGGAATTGGGGGTGGGTGGGTGAGAAGGATGAATCCTGACTACTGAGCTAGGGATAAAGGGCAAAGGACACTGAGCAGGCTCTTGTAATAATCCAGGCAAGCACTGATGTGCTTTGGACCATGATGGTGGCAGTGGAAGTAGCAAGAAGTGATTGGATTCTCAATATATTTGGGCAGCAGAACTTACAGGGTTCCCAAACAGGATGAATGTGGGTTGTAAGAAAAGAAGGGGAGCAAAGGACAGCTTCCAAGTTTTTGTTTCAAAGTATTGTTAATTACCAAGACATGGAAGACTATGGAGGGAACATTTTTAAATGACAGAAAACAGGAGTTCAATTTGGGGCATGTTAAATATGAGAGGATTTTTAGAGATCAGGTTGAGATGTTGAGAAGGCATTTGGACATGTTAGCCTGGAGTTTAGGAGCATTTGGTATATATAAACTTGGAAGTCAGCAATAAATTGTAATGGCAAACAAATCCTCCTGCCTTGTATACACAAGAGAGATATTAGGGGGAGTTGGGAGGACAGCTTCTAAATATTTGTTGGATGAATCAATAAATGGAATGAATTATTTTTTCCAGCTGTACATGGAGTTTGTTTAAGCCGTTTGTATTGAACAGTTTGCAATGTGATCAACAGGACATATTTGGGGAATAATCGAGTAGGCCAGTGGTTCTTGGTGTGAGCTGGGAGAACTTTTGCAATTGGAGATGTTGTGAAATCCTCTAGGGACTTTCTCAAGTTACACCACCATTCTTGGTTGAAATTGTTGTGGTGGGGAAATTTTTTTTGAGAACCATCGAGTTAGTGCTAGCATAGAATCTAACAAGAAATGGCCCTGCATCCATTCTCTTTTCTTCTAATAACAGCCCCAGATTTCCATTTTTGGACCTACCTTTTCCTTTTTATCAGGCTAAGTGTTCATGGTGGGGCTCTGTCCTTAGTTCCAGGGATAAAGCCTGTGACCCAAACTTAAACCGCAGATCATTTTCCCCAGGCCATGGAGATTGTTTCAAATGTGGGCACATGGCCTGAATGGGTCATATCAGAGTAAATCTTAGGGCTTCTGGGTTATGCCACCATCACAGGCTCTTGCTTTCCTCACTGAACTTGAACCTAGACGGATGTAAGCTGGAGCTGTGGCAGCCATCATTGCCCTGTGAAAAGTCCACTTGGAGCTGCCAAAGACCACCCCAGGAGCTTCAGAATGAAGACAACCTGGAAGTCAGAGCTGACAGGTGAGAAACAACAAACAACTCACACCTGATTGTATTGCTTGAATTCTGAATTCAGCAGTGCTTGAAGCCAGATTGAGTCCTGACCATTTTAGTATACGATCATTAAGCAATCTTTTGCTTACGACATGTGCGGTTGAAAGAGTCCCAATTATAATAGGCTGAGAGACTAGGTATAGTAACTAGCACTTAAGTGGGTTGTCTAGGCTGTAGGCCCCAGATATTTAGGAGCTGCACTCAGAGGCTCCTGAGCAAGGTATGTGTCTGGGGTGACCCCAAGTGCACTTGCCAATCTGAACTGTGAGGAAATACCATGTAATGGGGGAGAGGAGAGTGTGGCAGGCATTCAGATACTTTGGGGAAACTCACTTCAAGCAAGTGTTCTGTTCCTTAAAAAGCTGCATATAAACTCAAGTTTTGCAAATGTATATGTACATTTATATATACATATACATAAAATGTATATGTACATTTATATATACATATACATAAAATGTATATGTACATTTATATATACATATACATAAAATGTATATGTACATTTATATATACATATACATAAAATGTATATGTACATTTATATATACATATACATAAAATGTATATGTACATTTATATATACATATACATAAAATGTATATGTACATTTATATATACATATACATAAAATGTATATGTACATTTATATATACATATACATAAAATGTATATGTACATTTATATATACATATACATAAAATGTATAGTTTATTTGTCTTAGATAATTCACTCTGTAGACAAAATCCAGGTGGAGTAACAGTGCCTGTGAACACTGGATCCCCAAGAGTCTATCTTAATGTCGGTGCTAGAGAAACAGAATCAAATCAGAATTCTAGATCCCATTTACGTCTTAATACCTGCACTCTGCAGCTGAAAAAAGCATGAAGAGGCTATTTATGTACTCATCTCATTAAAAAATAAAAGCAAGGCTGGGCGCGGTGGCTCACACCTGTAATCCCAGCACTTTGGGAGGCTGAGACGGGTGGATCATGAGGTCAGGAGTTTGAGACCAGCCTGACCAACATGGTGAAACCTGTCTCTACTAAGAATACAAAAATTAGCTGGGCGTGGTGGCGCACACCTGTAATCCCAGCTACCCAGGAGGCTGAGGCAGGAGAATCGCTTGAACCTGGGAGGTGGAGGTTGCAGTGAGCTGAGATTGTGCCACTGCACTCTAGCCTGGGTGACAGGGCAAGACTCCATCTAAAAAAAAAAAAAAAAGCAAACACAACTCAGTGAACTCAGTGTGTAGAGTGTGCTATGATTTATTTTAAAAGTGCGGGTAGTGGTGGTGGGGAACAGTATGGACATTTCTGCTGTAACATTTATATATTGCTGAAAAATCTTGCATTCCTTAAATATTTCATGTTAAAAACAACAGACTTATGAGAGAGTTATGGTTGGATCACGTTGTTGAAAATTAGTGCTTTGTGAAGAGCGCTAACAAAAGCAAAAAACCAGTCTTAATACAGATATTAGTACAATGAGAAGACAAGTTAAATTTCTTATAAATGTAGAAACACTGTAATAAAAAAGAAAAAAGAAACCTCTTTACTTTTAGAAATAAGGTGAAGTTAGCTTGAGGAAAGAGCTGTAAGGAAGAGTGAAGTCAGCTGAGTCAAGGACACAAGCGGAAAATGTGCAAAGATGAGCCAGAAGCATGGAAAAGTACCTCCAAGACAGAGGAGAACTGATCCAAGAGAAAGGAGATGGGAGTGGGCATCACGTACAGCCAGAGGGCGCCACCTGCCGGTAAGAGCTGAATAGTGAACTTCGTGTTTCTTGGGATAAAACATTGTATAATACACAGTACTGGGAAGAAAATCATATACGCACTAATGTGCCTCTACGTTATACCGCCGTCATTCCCCTAATTTATCACCCCCTTATGAGTAAATTCGGGTTACAAAAACTTGTGTAACATAACATTGTATATATTCTTTGCAATGTATGCAAATACACACAAATATGTAAATATATGTTTATTTGTTTGTATACGCGTAGGATAGTTTCAGATGGAAACACCCAAAGTAGCAACACTGACTGCCTCTAGGGGGGGAAACCGAGCATCTAGAAGGTGAGGTGTGTGTGGGTGTACTTTTGAGGTGTTGCCCACCTGTATGTTTTGAATATTCTCTAATCAAAAAAAAAATTTAAATAGAATCATTAAAATTTTTTAAAACTGAAGACTTCCCCTGGATCCTTTCCATCATCTTTAACTAGAACCATTCTGGCTTTATGACTAAACCTATCTGCTTTGGTCATTTACTTCTTTAAAACGAGACAACCATGTGACATCCTAGGATCCATCGAATGACCTGGTTCACAAGAGAAGCCAGAGTGCAGTCAGGACAAGGCAAACAGCCCTTTACTGGAAGAATTGGGCAATCTATCTGGTGAGAGGTAAGTTTAAATAGGGCAGTGACACTGCACAACAAAGTCCCATTTTTTGGACTTTATGGGGGTTGAAAACCCTGCCTGACAGACTCAGAGTCCTTAACCAGACTGCCCCAGCGGGGAGAAGGGTACCAGGAGGGTTTCCACGAGGGCAGAGGCAGCAGGTGTCTGACTACCTACTCCATTTGCAAGGACGAATGGAAAGCCAGGGCTCACCACACAGGTGAACAGTAGAAGACTGCATGAGCCGATGGAAAAACAGACCCTAAGAGCAGCAGAAGAGGAGAAAGTCCAAATAACATCTTCAGTGAGATTAAGACTATAGTTTATGGCAGTCTCGTGCATCTATCAACAATAAGAACATGCTATATAGAGAGACAATTAGAAGACAAGAGTTACCTAGAGATTGAAAATATAATTGCTGAAGTTAAAAAACCCTTTATTGGCCGGGCGCAGTGGCTCACACCTGTAATCCTAGCACTTTGGGAGGCTGAGGCAGGCAGGTCACTTGAGCCCAGGAGTTCAAGACCAGCCTGGACAACACAGGGAGACCCTGTCTCTACAAAAAAATTGCAAAGATTAGCCGAGCATGGTGGCATGCACTTGTAGCTTGGGACTACATCCTAGCTACGTGGGAGGCATAGATGGGAGGATCACCTGGGCCCGGGAAGTGTGAGGCTGCAGTGAGCTGTGATTGCACCACTGTACTCCAGTCTGGGCAACAGAGTGAGATTCTGTCTCAAAAAACAAAAAAACAAACAAACAAAAAAACAAAACAAACAACAAAAACCACCTAAACTAAACTCCCCCCAAAAACCCTTTACTTAGAAAATGATGAAAAAGAGAAAGTGGCATAAAATATTAGTGAAAAGTTAACAATTCAAGAGGGCCATCTGAGATTGGACATCCACTGGCAGGCATCTCTGAGTGAGAACAGAAGAAAGAGGAAATATGAAGGCATGGGAAGGGAGCTGCACAGAGTTAAGGAAGACTTTGGTTTGCAGAGCGAAAAGGATTGCCTAATGGAAGCACAATAAGTAGGAAAAAAATACTCACTTAGACTCATATATATGAAGTTCCAGAGCCCCAAGGATAAGAAGACTCCAAAACGCAAACAACAACAGCAGCAATAATAACAACAGCAGCTAGGTCACTTACCAAGGTGTAAGAATCAGATTGGCATCGGACCTAACAGAAGCTGGATAACAAACAGAGCAATGTCCTTAGGATTTTGAGAGAAGATAATTTTGGACTTGAATTTTAAAATTCACTCACTCCAGGTATTACTGCATGAAGGGGTAGAAAAAAATTAAAAATTTAAAAATCGTAAAGAAAACCCCAAATAACTTAGAAATTGGACACATTTACTTAAATTATGCATAAATAAGTTCCCAAATTACATTGCTCTAGTGTGCACCAAGATTATCAATAAATAAATGATTAATCTTTCTTGAATGACTTTAGTAAACATTGGTTATTGTTGCAGCTTTGCATCTGTTCTGCTCCTTCCTGGAACAGGTCCCTGATTTTTCTTTGAAAACATTATTCCTCCCTCCTCCGTCCTTGGGTTTTAAGTGACTCTAACTTAATCCTCCTTGCACCACAGGGACTTGGTATGCTCTATCCCTCGGGCTACAGTGATGGGTTCAGATATGGGTTTGTAATCCAAGGCTGTCCCATAAGACTCAGTCCTGGGATTTTTTTTTGTAAATTAAAAAAGTTTTTATCGATACATAAAATATGTATTTATGGAGTATATGTAATATTAAATGTATAGAATGTGTAATGTCAAATCAGGCTATTAAGGGTATCCATTACTTGGAGTATTTATCATTTCCATGTGTTGAAAACATTTCAAGTCCTCTTTCCTAGCTATTTTGAAACATACAATACATTATTGTTAACTATAGTCACCTTGCTCTGCTATCGAACATTAGAACTTATTCTTCTATCTAACCGTATATTCGTACCCACTGACCAACCTTTCTTCACCTTCCTGCCCTCCACATCCTTCTCAGCCTCTGGTATCCATCATTCTACCCTCTACTTCCATGTGATCAAATTTTTTGAACTCCCACATATAAGTGAGAACATATGGGCCAGGTGCGGTGGCTCACGCCTATAAACTCAGCAGTTTCGGAGGCGAGGTGGGTAGATCACTAGAGGCTAGGAGTTCGGGACCAGCCTGGCCAACATGGTGAAACCCCATCTCTACTAAAAATACAAAACTAAGCTAGGCATGGTGGCGCGCACCTGTAAACCCACCTACTTAGGTGGCTGAGGCAAAAGAATCACTTGAATCTGGGAGGCGGAGGTTGCAGTGAACCAAGATCATGCCACTACACTCCAGCCTGGGTGACAGAGTGAGATTCTTTCTCAAAAAAAAGAACATGTGATGTTTGTCTTTTTGTGCCTGGCTTGTCTCATTTAAGGTGAATATATATATATATAATATATGTATATGTATATATGTGTATATATAAAATCTTATGGTATATATATGTTATACATACACATGTGTGTATGTATAACATACATATATATACACACACACATATATAAAACATTTTCTTTATCTACTCATCAGTTAATGGGCCCTTAGGTTTGTTTAATATCTTTGCAGTTATGAATTGTGCTGCAATAAACATATATGTGAAAGTGTCTTTTTGATATAATGACTCCTTTTCCTTTGGGTAGATACCCAGTAGTGGGATTGCTAGATTGAATGGTAGATCTACTTTTAGTTCTTTCAGAAATTTCCACATTGTTTTCCATAGAGATTATACGAATTTCCCTTTTTACCACATCCATGCCAACATCTATTGTTTCTTTTCCCCCAACTTTTATTTTAGGATTAGGGGTATGTGTGCAGGTTTGTTGTACAGGTAAATTGTGTGTCATGGGGATTTGGTGTACCGATTATTTTATCACCTATGCAATTAGCATAGTACTCAATAGGTAGTTCTTTGATCCTCACCCTCTTCCCACCCTTCTCCCTCAAGTAGGCCCCAGAGTCTCTTGTTCCCTTCTTTGTGTTCATGTGTGCTCAGTGTTTAGCTCCCACTTGTAAGTGAGAACATGTGGTATTTGGTTTTCTGTTCCCGTGTTAGTTTGCTTAGGATAATGGGCTGAAGCTCCATCCATGTTGCCACAAGGCATGATCTCATTTTTATGACTGCATAGTATTCCATATACAGGTATATATGTAGCAATTTTCTTTATTCAGTCTACCATTGATGGCCATCTAGGTAGATCCCAGGTCTTTGCTATCACAGATATTGCTGCGATGAACGTATGCATGTGTGCGTCTTTATGGTAGGATGATTTATATTCCTTTGGGTATATACTCAGTAATGGGATTGCTGGTTCAAATTGTAGTTCTAAGTTCTTTGAGAAATCACCAAACTGCTTTCCACAGTGGCTGAGCTAATTTACATTTCCATCAGCAGTGTATAAGCATTCCCTTTTCTTAACAACCTCAAGCATCTGTTACTTTTTGATTTTTTTTTTTTTTTTTTTTTTTTGGTGAGATGGAGTCTCCCACTGTCACCCGGAGTGGAGTGCAGTGGCGCGATCTTGGCTCACTGCAACCTTCGCCTCCCAGGTTCAAACGATTCTCCTGCCTCAGCCTCCCAAGTAGCTGGGATTATAGGCATCTGCCACCATGCCCAGCTGATTTTTTGTATTTTTAGTAGAGATGGGGTTTCACTATGTTGGCCAGGCTGGTCTCAAACTCCTGACCTCATGATCTACCCCCCTCGGCCTCCCAAACTTTTTGACTTTTAATGATAGCCATTCTGACTGGTGTGAGATGGTATCTCATTGTGGGTTTGATTTGCATTTCTCTAATGATTAGTAATGTTCATTTTTTCATAAGCTTGTTGGCCATGTATATGACTTCTTTTGAGAAGTGTCTGTTCATGTCCTTTGCCCATTTTTAAAAGGGTTTTTGCTTGTTAATTTGTTTAAGTTCCTTATAGGTTCTGGTTATTAGACCTTTGTTGGACACATAGTTTGCAAATATTTTCTCTCATTCTGTAGGTTGTTTGTTTACTGTGTTGGTAGTTTCTTTTGCTGTGCAGAGGCTCTTTAGTTTAATTAGGTCCCATTTGTCAATTTTTGTTTTTGTTGCAATTGCTTTTGTTATCTTTGTCATGAAATCTTTGGCAGGGCCTATGTCTAGAATGGTATTCCCTAGGTTTTCTTTTAGGATTTTGTAGTTTTGGTTTTACATTTAAGTCTTCAATCCACCTTGAGTTGATTTTTGTATATGGTGAAATGAAGAGGTCCGGTTTCAATCTTCTGCATATGGGTAGCCAGTTATCCCAGCACCATTTATTGACTAGGATGTCTTTTCCCCATTACTTGTTTCTGTTGACTTTGTTGAAGATCAGATGGTTGTAGGTGTGTGGCTTTATTTCTGGGCTCTCTATTCTGTTCCATTGGTCTATATGTCTGTTTCTGTACCACACCGTGCTGTTTTTTGTTACTGTAGCTCTCTAGGAAAGTTTGAAGTCAGGTAATGTAATGCCTCCAGCTTTGTTCTTTTTGCTTAGGATTGCTTTGACTATTTGGGCTCTTTCTTGGATCCATATGAATTTTAGAATTGTTTCTTCTAATTCTTTAAAAAGGTAATTTGTAGTGTGATAGGAATAGCATTGAATCTGTAAATTGATTTGGGCAGTATGGCCATTTTAACAATATTGATTCTTCCTATCTATGAGCATGAAATGTTTTTTCATCTGTTTGTGTCATCTCTAAATTCTTTGAGCATTGTTTTGTAATTCTCATTGTAGAGATCTTTCGCCTCACTGGGGTTGAGAATTACAAAACTCTCCTTGGTTAGGGAGGTGAAAGATATTTTACTGAAAGAGATTTGAAAATGCCTAGGTATTTTATTTTTTTCTGTGTGCGTGGCTATTACGAATGGGCTTGCATTCTTGATTTGACTCTCAGCTTGGACGTTGTTTGTGTATAGAAATGCTACTAATTTTTGTACATTGAGTTTTTATCCTGAAACTTTCTTAAAGTTGTTTGTCTTGAATCTGTAAGAGCTTTTGGGCAGAGACTATGAGGTTTTCTACATATAAAATCATATTGTCTGAAAACAGAGATAGTTTGACTTCCTCTCTTCCTATTTGAATGCTTTTTATTTCTTTCTCTTGCCTGATTGCTCTGGCTAGTACTTCCAGTACCATATTGAATAGGAGTGGTGAGAGTGGTCATCCTTGTCTTATTCCAGTTTTCAGTGGGAGAGAGAGGGAGAATTCAGAGGGAGAGAGAGACAGAGTGGGAGAGAGAGAATCATATTTAAAGTGTACGATTTAATAAGTTTTGACACATATCCATTGGCCCCCCCCAAAATATCCTCATGACCCTTGTCAGTCCTTCCTCCTGACACTTCTCACCCCCATCCCCGGGCAGCCACTGACTTGCTTTTTGTCACTATAGAATAGTGAGCATTTTCTAGAGTAAGTGGAATCACACCATATATACTATATGTACTCCTTTTGTTTGACTTTTTCCACTGAGCATAATAATTTTGAGGTTCACCCATGTTGTGTGAATCAGTAGCTCATATCTTTTTATTGAGAAGTCATATTCCATTGTATAGATATGCTACAGTTAGTTTATCCATTCACCTGTTGATAGATATTTTGTTTATTCCCAACTTTTGCCTATTGCAGATAAAGCTTTATGAATGATCAGGTATAAGACATTTATGAACACATGATTTCTTTTCTCTTAGGAATATACCTAGGAGTGGAATGCCTGAGTCATATTATGGGTGTGTAAGATTACTTTTTAAGAAACTGGCCAATTGTTTTCTAAAGTCATTGCACCACTTTTTTTTTTTTTTTGAGATGCAGTTTTGCTCTTGTTGCCCAGGCTGGAGTGTACTGGTGTGATCTCAGCTCACTGCAACCTCCGCCTCCTGGGTTCAAGCAATTCTCCTGCCTCAGTCTCCTGAGAAACTGGGATTATAGGCGCCTGCCACCACACCTGGCTAATTTTTTTTTTTTGTATTTTTAGTGGAGACAGCATTTCGCCATGTTGGCCAGGCTGGTCTTGAACTCCTGGCCTCAGGTGATCTGCCTGTCTTGGCCTCCCAAAGTGCTGGGATTACAGGCGTGAGCCACTGAGCCCGGCCAATTGCACCATTTTATATACCACCAGTCCCTCCACATCTTCACCAACACTCAGTGTGTTCAGTGTATTTAATTTTAGCCATTCTAATAATCCTTTTTAGTGCTGCATAATATTTCCATGATATGAGTATACCAATATGAGTATCCCTACTGATGCACTTTTACCTCTCTTCCTATGTTTTTGCCTCTAGAAACAATTCTGCAAAACCAGACTATACTAACTGGAGCTTTTATTGCCATGAGACGGAGTCTTTGGAATAGGGTTGATGCATTAAAGTGTATAAATATTTTAAAATAAAATAAATCCTATTGAGAGCTTTCTTAAAAGGCTGTAATAATTTACATTTACCAGCAATGCATTAAAGCATCTTTTGCGTTTCTTCCCAACCTCACCACTATTTTTTTTTTTTTTTTTTTTTTTGAGATGGAGTTTTGCTCTTGTTGCCCAGGCTGGAGTGCAATGGCGCGATCTTGGCTCACTGCAACCTCCGCCTCCCGGATTCAAGCGATTCTCCTGCCTCAGCCTCCGGAGTAGCTGGGATTACAGGCATGTGCCACCACACCCGGCCTTTTGTATTTTTAGTCGAGATGGGGTTTCTCCATGTTGGTCAGGCTGATCTCGACCTCCAGACCTCAGCTCACCCCTAATTTTTGTCAATAGTATATAACTTTTTACAATGCTTTCAAGTTGTTTTGATTTTCATTTCCTTCATTATGAAGTGAATTTTTTTCACATGTGTATTGGCCATTGATTGTTCATCTGTGAACAGTCTAAGGATGTTGCACATTTTTATTTTTGTGAGTTTTTTTGGTAACATAGATTTTAAAATTTCATCTTAATTTTTTTTTTTTTCATTAGAGATGAGGTCTCACTCTGTTACCCAAGCTGGATTTCAGTGGTGCAATCAGATCTCACTGCAGCCTACAACTCCTGGGCTCAAGAGAAAAATTTATTTTTTTATCTTTAAATTTGTTTATGGCATCTTTGCCATATTAAACACTTTAAAGCCATCTTTTCTTTTATAACTTCTGGCTTCATGTCTTGGTTAAGAAAGTACATTCAACTCTTGGCTTGTACATATAATCTCCTGTATTTTGTCTTAAGATTTTCATGTTATTTTTTTACAGACACAAATTCAATCCTTCTTGGATTTTATTTTATTTTTTATTTTTTTAGATGGAGTCTTGCTCTGTTGCCAGGCTGGAGTGCAGTGGTGCGATCTCGGCTCACTACAACCTCCGTCTCCCGGGATAAAGCGATTCTCCTGTCTCAGCCTCCCAAGTAGCTGGGACTACAGGCGGGCACCACCACGGTCAGCTAATTTTTGTGTTTTTAGTATAGATGGGGTTTCACCATGTTGGTCAGGATGGTCTCGATCTCTTGACTTCGTGATCCACCTGTCTCAGCCTCCCAAAGTGTTGGGATTACAGTGTGAGTCACTGTGCCCGGCCTCTTGGATTTTTATGTAGTGTGAGGTAGCAGCCCAGCTTTACTTTCTTCTAATTGGAAAGCTGTTTTTTCCTCACCACTTAACTAAATAACCAATTTTCCTCTGCTTTTTCATACATTTATTCCCATTATTAACTAGGATTCATTATGTACTATGTATATTGTCCTACTGATTTATTTGTGTGTTTTATGCCGATGCCAGACTAACTTATGTTCAGGCATTTTTTTTCCGCACAAGGGAGCCTGAAGAAAGCATATCTAATTCCACACACAAAAACAACAGATTTCAATTGGAATTTAATTATGTATATATCCATTTTGGAAGAATGTATATCTTCATAGTGGTAAGTATTTTCATACCAGAACATGGTCTGTTTTTCTGTTTGTTCAGGTCTTGTTTCATGTTTTTCAATATGGTTGAGCTATATTTATAGTTAAGTATATCATGAATATATATATATAAGAGTATATGTACAGCATAAAGCTCAATAAAGCCATACCCAGTTTAAGGAGTAGAGCATTGCCCTTCGAAGCTTCCCATCCCACCTCCATGAGTTCCTCTCCCTGTCGCTAGGGTATTATTACTATCCTCTCTTTTGTGTTAATCATTCACTTTCTTTCTTTTTCTTTTTTTTGAGATAGGGTGTTGCTCCATTGCCTAGGCTGGAGTGCAGTGGTGCAATCATAGCTCACTGCAGCCTTGACCTCCTGGGCTCAAACGATCCTCCCACTTTGGACTTTTGTGTAGCAAGATCACCTTGTGCACCACCTCACCTGGCCAATTTTTTTTTTTTTTTTGTAGAGATAGGGCCTCACTGTTTTGCCCAGGCTGGTCTCGAACTCCTGTCCTCAGGAATCCTTCTGCTCTGGCCTCCCAAAGAGTTTGGATTACAGGCGTGAGTCACCGCGCCCAGCCTTTCCTTGCTTTTCTTTATAGTTTTGTATCACCTATGTCTGTTGCTCTAAACAATATATATTTTTAGTTTTTTTCCACGACTAACCTTGTCAAAAATGGAATCAGATTCTGTATTCTTCTGGGAAAAGAACGGTTCTTCTTTGATTAAACATTATGTATATGATATTTATTCATGTTGATGTAGGTAATTGTGTTTTGTTCATTTTTCCTGCTGAATATCATTCCACTGTGTGGATATTCTATAATTTGCTTATCCAATGCAGTATTGATGAATATTTGGGTTGTTTGTAGCTTTTTACTATCATGAGTCTTCTTACAAAATATCCTTATGCATTCATGTAAGTTTTTCTTTAAGGCAATGGTCTTCAAACTTTTTTACTTCTGTATTCACTAAAGGGATTTTTAAAAATTTAGGTCTTCTCTTGATTTTAAGCTGAACTTCTAAAATTTTTTCATCATGAATATTTGCAAAGGATGTAATTTCTAGCACATTGTAGATATTAACATTTTTAAATGAAATTACTTCAGTGCAAAAATTGAGAAGCCTTGTTCATATAAACGAATCAATAGAAATATAATCAATTCTGTTATGCTAATGCCACTCAATTCTTTGTACTCCTTCCAAAATAAATGCCAAAACCGCATAGTGGTTTCTCATTAATTTTTAATTTCTATTGATGGATATATCTGTCTTCCTTTTTGTTGAAAACAAAATAGTGGAGACTGCTTGACTTGCAGAAGGATTTAATGGCCAGTCATTAGAATCACTTGATTTCTCAATGTCTGGGAAGTATACCAAAAAAGCTTTATCAAGACATACCAAATGACTATAAATTGTATGTCTTACTCTTTCACTGAAAGGTTGAAAAGTATCCCATTTAACCCATTATATCTAAAATATTTGGAAAAATTGAAATATTATGAACTTTGATAAACCTCTGTCAATCTATTTAAAAAAACTTTTTAAGTGGAAAATTCTAAATACATAGAAGTAGAAAAAATAGCGTACTGAACTCAACGTATCTATCATTAGGCATCAACAGTTATACATGGGCAATCTTGTTTCATCTAAACCCCTATCCTTTCCACTCCTAGTTTTTATTATTGTTTTTATTTTTTGAAATAGGGTCTCACTCTGTTACCCAGGTTACGATGCAGTGGCATGATCACAGCTCACTGCGGCCTTGACCCCCGGGCTCAATGGATCCTCCTACTTCAGCCTCCTGAGTAGCTGGGACTACTGGTGCATGCTACTATCTTCCGCTAATGTTTTAAAAAATATTTTGTAGAGATAGGTCTGTGTTGCCCAGGCTGGTATTAACTCCCAGGCTCAAGCCATCCTCCTGCCTTGGCCTCCCAAAATGTGGAGATTAAAGGTGTGAGCCACCATACTCGGCCCCTTTTGACGTTTCTGACAAACTTCCCAAGATTAATTTCTAAATTAAGCCTTTTTTATTGATCTTGAACTAACTTTGGGACTTTTGAGATGGGCTCCTGGAAAATGTGAAAGAATTTCTCTCTCACCTTGTAAAAGAGGGACATTAAACTAATTGGCTTATTTGATATGTTAAATTATGTGGGAAGCACTGTCAAGTAAAAGTGACGTTTAGCTTTCTTTATATTTATATGGGCACATGTTACTAATAAGAGTGTTTCAGAAATAAAATTCTTTAAAATTTGTCAATACCCTTAGCTATTCATCATATGTCTGATATAATGTTATCAATCAGAATTCTACATCTTATTTTACAATGTTGTATGTCACAGAAATAACCAAATTTCCTCATCAATTAGATTGTAAGAAACTCTCATTAGATATTTAAATGTGACTACTTAAAAATCTTTTATAATTTACATGTTATTTTACTGTGATATTTTCCTAAAAGCTTTTGCAAGCCACTATGGTCAAAATTTGTCTTCAAAGAGATCATGGAAAAGACTCCAACAAGTACAGGTTTTTGATAACTTTAAGATCCCACCATTGGCCTGGGTAAGAATTTCCAGAACTCTAATGAAGAAACTGACTGGTTTGTAAAACTGTTAACCCGATGTTGGGCAAAACAAAAATTAATTGGATGGGACTAAATGAACTGATGAAAAAAAATGATGCTTTAAAAAATTACCTTTTTTCAAAACATTGCTCGTTCTTTAATATTTTGTTTTCCAGATCTGAGGAAATGTTTTCTCTTTTATCCTACGCTATCTGTAGTTGACCACAATCTGGTAGATTATGCATTTGTAAACAGAAATAAAGCATTTGATTTTCTCCCTACCTAATCCCTCCAGAATTTGAAAATGATGAGTGAGTATTCTTACATTCATGACCATAGTTGTTTGTATAGGTCCAATAAGAATCTATCTGTTTGTAACAGGACACAATGGAAAACATTGGTTACATTACCAAAGCTTTGGAATGTAATTTTTAGAATGTCATAGAATCAGATATGACTACACAGTTTTAAGAAACTAAGGATGACTTTGTGGGGCGAATAAGGCCCCTTAAAAAACCCCCAGCCTGGTACCTTGCTCACAGAGTTCCTAGCCTTATAGTTGAGTAAAGAAGGTAACTTTCATGCAGGCCCAGGAGCCTTAAAAATATTTTGGAGACCTCGAGAACAGAGGAACTCACCCAAATCTAGAGGTGTTACAGGCAAAATCTAATGACAAGCTCTTGGCTTGGCTTCCTAGACTTGAGAGGCTTTTAGATTCCTTATTAGCAGTTCCAGCAAAGCAGACTTAAAAAGAGCCTATACGATCAATCACTATTCTTGCTGCATTATATAAATAATCAAGACAAGTTTAATGTGACTAGACTTATTTTGTAAAAAAATTAGTCTTACTGTGATTATGTTTGGTAAAAGTGGGAGTGACTGTGGAGAGAAAAATTATATTAACAAAAACTATAGTGTACCCGTTATTGGATTCTAGTACTGTTCATTGTCTTTGAAGTTTTGTTATCTATATGTAGAATGGATTAGATATTAAACTCTAATTTCCTCCCATATCCGGCAACAAATCTTCAGGCTAATGCTTCATGTTTTTCTCCTACTCTCTTGACTTGACATCACTGAAAACTGAAGCTGCCCTTTTCCTGAAATTTTGCAAGCTGAAACTGGATGACTTGATATAAACTTCAGAGAACTCACTACCACAACTAATATATAAGCAACCTTTGTGCCTGTTGCTGTGTAGGCCACTCAGAAAGTCCACTGGAACACCCAATGACCTCACCAGAGACATTCAAACTGCAAATCAGGAAATTGATCAGAATTACCACTGCTTATCTTCACTCTCTATCTAAAGATGCTTTGAGCCCAACCTATAGTACCCTTTACCAACTGATTGCCCTCTGGACTCAAAAGCTGGGCTTATAACTTGCCCTAAACATTAACCTTTATTTTTCTTTTGTTTCCATAGAAATGCCTCTTATTGGGCTGGGCGCGGTGGCTCACGCCTGTAATCCCAGCACTTTGGGAGGCCGAGGCGGGCGGATCACGAGGTCAGGAGATCGAGACCATCCTCGCTAACACAGTGAAACCCCGTCTCTACTAAAAAACACAAAAAAATTAGCCTGGCGTGGTGGCGGGCGCCTGTAGTCCCAGCTACGCGGGAGGCTGAGGCAGGAGAATGGCGTGAACCCGGGAGGCGGAGCTTGCAGTGAGCCGAGATCGCGCCACTGCACTCCAGCCTGGGCGACAGAGCGAGACTCCATCTCAAAAAAAAAAAAAAAAAAAAAAAAAAAAAAAAAAAAAAAAAAGAAATGCCTCTTATTGTTTACATTATGAAGTCTCAACTTGGATGGAAGCCCAACTGCAACACGGCCTCCTAAAATGAGACGCAACTGTTCAACTGAACTGTTCTCAGGACTAAAAGGCTGTGTCAATAAGATACGGGGAATATTTGTTCTTCTGTGTGTTCCGATCCTTGTTTTTCTTTCCCTTCGTTGATCTCTTGTTTCACAACTTCCAACCCAAATCTGCTCACAGCTACTAACTTGGCTTTTAACATATGAAACTTTCTAAAAGTAAAGTTTCAAATGGGGAATGAAGAGGCTCAGAATACACTACCCCAAAACATGTCACTCAGAACACATCATCCCCAAATATGCCACTTTGGCATCAGAATTATTTTAAACTAAAGGCACATAAAAACAGGAGATGCAAGAAGATCACTCTGACCTTCACTGTTCTTTAAAAGCCAGAGATGAAATTCCCATGTGAAAGGTGTTCTCCCTAAACCAAGAAGAAAGTAACATTCTCATCACAAAGGATAGGAAGTTGAGGCTGATAGGAATCTATACAAGCATCCCTTATGTTCCTAATTACTTATTTACCCAGTTATTTACCCTAGCATAAGCCCCTTTGCCTTGTTACATTTTCACAATTCAGGGCATAAATGTTTGACTCTAGCTGCTGCTTTGTGTCTTCATTTCCTTATGAATGCTCTCCTGCCATTAAAAAACTTGCATTAAATAATTTATATACTTTTCTCCTGTTGATTTGTCTTATGTCTATTTAATTCTCCAGGCCCAGGCAACAAACAAACAAACAAGAAAACAAAACAAAAACAAAAAACCCCCAACAACAACAACAACAAAACCATAAAAGAGGAGGGGCAAATTTTTGCCTCCTCTTCTGCATTTTTCACATGCTTTATCCTGTTTTCACTTCTTTACTTTCTGGCACTATAAGGTGTTCCAGGCTCATCTTATATTTATTTTCCCTATCCTAGCCCTGGAATCAGCCACTTCTACACTTCTTGAAGGAGTCCTGGTTCCTTTCATCAGGGAACGGCATTTCGAAATCAAGATCTGAGTGCTGGCTGTGCTCATTGCTACTGGTGTCACTGCTCATAGTCTCCTCTCTCTCAGTGGGCAGAGCTAGGTAATTCATGTATGTATAACTGACCCATATATGCACACATATTATATTTTTGTATCTACTAAAAATAAATCAACCATGAGTTCATACTGATATTTCTAACTCCAGTCCAGCACCAGGATTTATTCTAGCATTATCTCTGCTTATTTGTAACTTCTTTCTGACAATGAGAAAAGTGGATCCCATAGCTTACACTATATTTAATTATTTTTGAGCCCAAGTATACCATAGGTTTAGGGTTGTTTGTGAAAAACGAATTTACCAATGAGAGTTTGTTGCTTCTGTACTGTTCTTCTTGTCTTTGGCCTGACACTCTCCAGTCAAAACATTGCTTTACAAAGGCACTTAGGTCAGCTCGTTTCTTCCCTCCTAACTTCCGTATGGTTATGTTTTTTTATTTGTAATACGGTTAGATTCATTTTAGCAGTCCGCTTTTCATCTTGGATTTCCCCAAGATCTCAGTTGATTTTTTAAAAATTTGTATACAGCAAAGTTTACCCTTTGTGGTGTATAGGTTTATGGGATTGAGAAAGGCATAGAGTCACGTGTACAACAAGACAGTTTAACTCAGAACAATTGGACTGCCCAAAAGTTTCCTAATGAGGCCCTTTAGTGGGGCATCATTTCATAGGACTCCCCCAACTCCAGGCAACCACGGATTTGTTTTCTATTTTTATAATTTTGCTTTTTCCAGAATGCCATATAAATAGAATCATTCAGTATGTAACATTTTGGATTTTCTCTCATTTAGCAAAAAGAATTTCAGATTCATTCATGTGTTGTGGGTTGATACTTTTTATTGCTGAATGGTATCCCATTGTCTGGATATACACAGACTTACTTACCCTTTCATCTGTGAAAGACAGCTGAACTATTTCTAGCTTTGGTAATGAATAAAGCTGCTATAAACATTCAGGGCCAGGCACAGTGGCTCACGCTTATAATCCCAGTACTTTGGGAGGCTGAGGCAAGAGGATCAACTGATGTCAGGGGTTCAAGACCAGCCTGGCAAACATGGCAAAATCCTTTCTCCACTAAACATACAAAAATTCACCTGGCGTGGTGGTGCATGCCTGTAATCCCAGCTACTCGGGAGGCTGAGGCAGGAGAATCACTTGAACCCAGGAGGCGGAGGTTGCAGTGAGCTGAAATAGCATCACTGCACTCCAGCCTGTGAGACTCCATCTCAAAAAAAAAAAAAAAAATCAGGTACAGGTTTTTCTGTCAGCATAAGGTTTCAGTTAACTTAGGTCAATACCTTGGAGTGGGATTGTTGGGTCACATGGTAAGTGCATGTTTAACTTTATAAGAAATTGCAAAACTATTTTCCATTTATAAGAAACTGCTATACTGCCATTCCCCAATGAAAGGAACCAGGACTCCTTAAAGAAGTGTACTTTTGGTGCAAAAGTAATCAGAGTTTTTGCCATTGAAGGTGATGGCATGAGTCAGGATTTCCTTATTTTAAAAGGCTGAATAATATTCCATTGTATGAATATATCATGTTTGTTTATTCATTCATGTGTCAATGGACACTTGGGTTGCTCCCACCTTTTGGCTATTGTGAATAACGCAGCTATGGACACAGTGTACAAATATGTGTTCAAGTCTCTGCTTTCACTTCTTTTGGGTGTATACCCAGAAGTGGAATTGCTGGATCACAGGTAATTATGTTTAATTTTTTTGAGGAATCATCATATCGTTTCCACAGCAGCTGCACCATTTTACACTCCCACCAGCAATGCACAAGAGCTCCAATTTCTCTCACATCCTTGCTGACACTTGCTATTTTTTTTTATTTTTTTGTGTGTGCATGTGTGTTGATAATACCAACCTAATGGGTGTGAAGTGATATTTCATTGTGGTTTTGATTTGCATTTTGTTAATAGCTAGTGATATTGAATATCTTTCATGTGCTTATTGGTCATTTGAATATCTTCTTTGGAGAGAAGTTTATCTTGATAAACCATTTTTTGAGGTTTATTAATTTTTTTAACTTTTATTTTAGATACAGGAGGTACATGTGCAGGTTCGTTACATGGGTATATTGCATGATGCTGAGATTTAGGGTATGGATCCCATCACCTTGGTAGTGAGGATAGTACCCATTAATTTTGTTAACCTTTTCAAGGATCCAGTTTTGAGATTCTATTATTTTTCTCTACTATTTTTTTCTGTTTTTAATTTCATAACTTTGTTCTTATCTTTTCTCCCCTTTCTGCTTGCTTTGGGTTTACGTTACTCTTCTTTCTCTAGTTTATTAAGGTGAATGCAGCAATTAATTTTTTGAGGTTTTTCTTCTTTTCTGGTATAAGCATTTAATGTTATAATTTTTCCTTTAAGCTCTCCTTTAGCTTTCTTCCATAAATTTTGATTTGCTGGCATTTTATATCAACTTATTTAAACATATTTTTAAAATTTGCCTTGAAGTTCTCCTTGAAGAGGTCCTTCACATCCCTTGTAAGTTGGATTCCTAGGTATTTTATTCTCTTTGAAGCAATTGTGAATGGAAGTTCACTCATGATTTGGCTCACTGTTTGTCTGTTATTGGTGTATAAGAATGCTTGTGATTTTTGCACATTGATTTTGTATCCTGAGACTTTGCTGAAGTTGCTTATCAGCTTAAAGAGATTTTGGGCTGAGACGATGGGGTTTTCTAAATGTACAATCATGTCATCTGCAAACAGGGACAATTTGACTTCCTCTTTTCCTAATTGAATACCCTTTATTTCTTTCTCCTGCCTGATTGCCCTGGCCAGAACTTCCAACACTATGTTGAATAAGAGTGGTGAGAGAGGGAGAGAGGGCATCCCTATCTTGTGCCAGTTTTCAAAGGGAATGCTTCCAGTTTTTGCCCATTCAGTATGATATTGGCTGTGGGTTTGTCATAAATAGCTCTTATTATTTTGAGATACATCTCATCAATACCAAATTTATTGAGAGTTTTTAGCATGAAGGTGTTGAATTTTGTCAAAGGCCTTTTCTGCATCTATTGAGACAATCATGTGGTTTTTGTCTTTGGTTCTGTTTATATGGTGGATTATGTTTATTGATTTGAGTATGTTGAACCAGCCTTGCATTCCAGGGATGAAGCCCACTGGATCATGGTGGATAAGCTCTTTGATGTGCTGCTGGATTCAGTTTGCCAGTTTTACTGAGGATTTTTGCATCGATGTTCATCAGGGATATTGGTCTAAAATTCTCTTTTTTTGTTGTGTCTCTGCCAGGCTTTGGTACTCAATGAAATAAAAGAGGGCACAAACAAATGCTCATGGATAGGAAGAATCAGTATCATGAAAGTGGCCATACTGCCCAAGGTAATTTATAGATTCAATGCCATCTCCATCAAGCTACCAATGACTTTCTTCACAGAATTGGAAAAAACTACTTTAAAGTTCATATGGAACCGAAAAAGAGGCCGCATTGCCAAGTCAATCCTAAGCCAAAAGAACAAAGCTGGAGGCACCACGCTACCTGACTTCAAACTATACTACAAGGCTACAGTAACCAAAACAGCATGGTACTTGTACAAAGCAGAGATATAGACCAATGGAACAGAACAGAGTCCTCACAAATAATATCACATCTACAACCATCTGATCTTTGACAAACCTGACAAAAACAAGCAATGGGGAAAGGATTCCCTATTTAATAAATGGTGCTGGGAAAACTGGCTAGCCATATGTAGAAAGCTGAAACTGGATCCCTTCCTTACACCTTATACAAAAATTAATTCAAGATGGATTAAAGACTTACATGTTAGACCTAAAACCATAAAAACCCTAGAAGAAAACCTAGGCAATACCATTCAGTACATAGGCATGGGCAAGGATTTCATGTCTAAAACACCAAAAGCAATGGCAACAGAAGCCAAAATTGACAAATGGGGTCTAATTAAACTAAAGAGCTTCTGCACAGCAAAAGAAACTACCATCAGAGTGAACAGGCAACCTATAGAATGGGAGAAAATTTTTGCAATCTACTCATCTGACAAAGGGCTAATATCCAGAATCTACAAAGAACTCAAACAAATTTACAAGAAAAAAACAAACAACCCCATCAAAAAGTGGGTGAAGGATATGAACAGACACTTCTCAAAAGAAGACATTTATGCAGCTGACAGACACATAAAAAAATGCTCATCATCACTGGTCATCAGAGAAATGCATATCAAAACCACAATGAGATACCATCTCACACCAGTTAGAAAGGCGATCATTAAAAAGTCAGGAAACAACAGGTGCTGGAGAGGATGTGGAGAAATAGGAACACTTTTACACTGTTGGTGGGACTGTAAACTAGTTCAACCATTGTGGAAGACAGTGTGGTGATTCCTCAGGGATCTAGAACTAGAAATACCATTTGACCCAGTCATCCCATTACTGGTTATATACCCAAAGGATTATAAAGCATGCTACTATAAAGACACATGCACACGTATGTTTATCGCGGCACTATTCACAACAGCAAACACTTGGAACCAACCGGAATGTTCATCTATGATAGACTGGATTAAGAAAATGTGGCACATATACACCATGGAATACTATGCAGCCATAAAAAAGGATGCGTTCATGTCCTTTGCAGGGACATGGATGATGCTGGAAACCATCATTCTCAGCAAACTATCGCAAAGACAAAAAACCAAACACTGCATGTTCTCACTCATAGGTGGGAATTGAACAATGAGAACAGTTGGACACAGGAAGGGGAACATCACACACCAGGGCCTGTTGTGGGGTGGGAGGAGGGGAGAGGGATAGCATTAGGAGATATACCTAATGTAAATGACGAGTTAATGGGTGTAGCACACCAACATGGCACATGTATACATATATAACAAACCTGCACGTTGTGCACACGTACCCTAGAACTTAAAGTATAATAAAATGAAATTTGCCTTGAGGTTTCTTGTACCCAAGGGTTATTTTCAAGTATGTGTTTAATTTTCAAATCTTTGGACAATTTCTAGATTCTTTCTGTTATTTATTTTGAATTTAATTCCATTTTGGTGTAAAAATATACTTTATGTAATTTCTATTGTTTTAGATTTGTTAAGGTTTGTTTCATGGCTCAGAATATGGTCTATTTTGGTGAATGCTCCATGTGCATTTGAGAAGAATGTGTGTTCTGTTGTTGATCGAAGTATGCTATAGGTCAAGTGTCAATAGGTCAATAGTGTCATTAGGTCAATAGTGTCAATAGGTCAAATTGGTTGATAGTGGTCAAGTCATCTACATACTTAATGATCTTCTAGCTACTTGTTCTATCCATTACTGAGAGAGATGTGTTAAAATCTCCAACTGTAATGTAGATATTCATCTATATCAGCTTTTGGTTCTTTCAATTTTTCTTTAAGAGTTTTGAAGCTCTTTTGTTAAGTTCATATACATTTAGGATTGTTATGTTACTTTGGTAAATTGGCATTTTTATCATTATGTAGTATTTCTTTTTACCTTTGATAATACTCTTTGTTCTGAAGTTTTAAAAAATTTTTATTTATTTTTATTTTTTATTTTTTTAAAATTTCACCTTTTTCTTCATCATTCAACTTGATAAAGCTTCTTTTTTTTTTAACATGAATATAGCTATTCCAGCTTTCTTTTGGATATTGTTTGATGGTATACATTTTTAATATTCTTTTATTTGTAACATATTTATGTCTTTGTTTTTAAAGTGACTTTTTCTTAAGGCAGCATATACATAGGTCTTGTTTTTAAATCATATCTGGAAATTTCTGTCTTTTAATTGGTATATTTTGATCATTCACATTTCGTGTTATTATATAACTGAATTAAAATCTACCATTTTCTTAGCTATTTTTTATTTAATCCATCTGTCCTTTATTTTTTCCTGCCTTCTCTTGAGGTAATTGAGCATTTACTGGAATTATGATTCTATTTCATCTCCTCTATTGACTTATTATTTGTTCACCCTTTAAAAAAAGTTTAGTCCTTGGTACAGGAGTTATATGTTTTTAATTAATTAGAGTGTATCATTAAATAACATTGTATATATTCACAGATAGTTTAAGGCCTCAAATTATCATAGTCCCACTTCTCTGCTATTACATATATTATACATATTATATACAATTATTAGCCTATAGATCTCTATATTATTAGATATTAATATCTGTATTCTATCATCTATCTATCTATCTATGAATCTATCTATCTATCTATCTATCTATCTATCTATCTATCTATCTATCTATCTATCCATCCATCCTGGGAATTAACTGAGAGATACAGATAAGCCAAAGCAGGCTTAAAACAAAACAAGGGCCGGGTGCGGTGGATCATGTCTGTAATCCCAGCACTTTGGGAGGCCAAGGCGGGCAGATCACGAGGTCAGGAGATCAAGATCATCCTGGCCAACATGGTGAAACCCCGTCTCCACTAAAAATACAAAAATTAGCTGGGTGTGGTGGCGCCTACCTACTCGGGAGGCTGAGGCAGGAGAATTGCTTGAACCTGGGAGGCAGAGGTTGCAGTGAGCCAAGATAGTGCCACTGCACTCCAGCCTGGTGACAGAGCGAGACTCCGTCTCAAAAACAAAACAACAAACAAACAAACAAAAAACAAAAAGTAGCTAGATAAAGAAAATATTGTTAGGTGAATCATGAAAAATAAAAGCATTTATTACGAACCATAAAAGTCGTACAGAGTAGCAGTATAAAAGATGATCTACATCTTGGGTTAATATAAGGCTTTTGTTATATAAGACTCACTTCACACCTTCATATTATTCATATAATTTTAATCTAATGACAACTTAGTTATCTTGGCTGTCTCTCCAATGTGTTGTATAATAAGTTCTTATAGGGTAAGGAGTTTACCGTGTGCAAGTGACCCTTGTTCTTCCCTCCTACCCCTCTCCTCCCTGTTTTCCTCTTCCCCTCTTTCCCACTCTCTCCTCTTCTCATCCCTTCTCAACTCCTCTCTCCCTATCCCACCTTCTTTTACTCACTCTTTCCTCATCTTATCTTCTTTAATCTCCCCCTTTTTAAAATTAATAGGTTTTGTTTTAAAAAGCAGTTTGAGGTTTACAGAAAAATGGGAATGATAAATACTGAGAGTTCCCCTATACTCCTCACCGTCTGCCCTAGCAATTCCCCCTATTAGTAACATCTTGCATTAGTGTGATACATTTGTTGTAATTGATGGGCCAATATTGATAAATTATTATTAATTAAAGTTCATAGTTTACATTAAGATTCAGCCTTGGTGTTGTATATTCTATGGACTTTGATGAATGTGTAGTGACATGTATCTACCATTATAGTATCACACAGAATAGTTTCACTACCCTAACAATTCCCTATATTCCACCTATCCATCTCTCCCTCCATCACCTGGAACCGCCAGCAACCACTGATTGGTTTACTGTCTCCATCATTTTGCCTTTTACAGAATACCATTTAGTTGGAATCATACAGTATATAGCCTTTTCAGATTGGCTTAGTTCACTTAGCAATATGCATGTAAGTTTTCTTTATGCTTTCTCATGACTTGTTAGCCCAGTTACTTTTTGAATGAATAAGATTCCATGGTCTAGATGTGCTACACTTTATTTATCCATCCACCTATTGAAAGATATCTTGGTTGTTTCTAAGTTTTGACAATTATGAATAAAGCTGCTATAAACCTTTGTGTGCAGATTTTTGTGTGGACATAAGTAATATATTTTTAAATAATGGGACAAAAAAGGAGAGCTTTCTAAGAATGACAGCGCCATAAAGAAAACATTTGTTCAAATTTCCAGACAGCAAAAAACTCACCATAGCAAACTTAAGAGACAAACAGCAGGGGGTGGTATTTGCAAGATATGTGACCACAGTTGACAGTTCTATTTTACTTAGCACACTGTGAACTTAAAGGAGATAAGATTCTCAAACTCTTTGACTATTTTATTTTATTACCTGCATGTCTGTGGTAGGAGAGAGACATATCAGTGATTCCCTTTAGATTTGTCCAAAAAATCTTATAAGAATTTAGTCCTGTTAGGAATTACCAGATTTCTATTTACATCTCACTGTTAGGAAAACACATTTTGAAATGAAACCACCATAATTCTACAGACTTTTAGAGAGGGAAAGTTATAACTGTTATTATATGAAAAGTGAACATTACAATATTAATATGAGAGAATATTTTGGAAGTCAAATCTGGCTTTCATTGCAAAGTGCGAACTGTATATGTTATCTGCGTTAGAACCGCCCTCCTCTCCAAACTAAATCAAAGAATCAGGAGTCACCTGTATCTCACTCTCTGGCTTATAATTTCTTTAAAAACTGAATCCATCTAAATGCAAATGTGCAAGTAACTGATCAAGCTCTGCCTCATTCACCTGAGAAAGTCCCCAGAGAGGAGCTCTGCCCACTCCCCCTGCACCCACCACCACAACACAGAGGCTCCCAGCATGACCGGGGCCACCCTCTTCCCTTCTCCCGAGCCCCTTGTTAACTTGTCAAGGGCTTGTCACTTTGGCTAAATCACATCATGAATGGGGTCAGATGTCTTCCTGGTCCCTGCGGAAATGAAATCCTCCTGGGTGGGGAAATCTCCTAAGCCTTGCCTCCCCCTCAGGTCAGAGCACAGGTAACCTGAGGGCAGGGCATTTGGCAGAAGTAAGAGGGAGCCATAAAATGTTTCAAGAAAGATGCCTGCTCCTTGTGCAGTGGAACCTGGAGAGTGCCCTTGGGTTCAGTCCTCACTGCCATCTAGAATTCAATATAGGAAACTCTCTTGGCCAGGCTCATGCCTATAATCCCAGCACTTTGGGAGGCTGAAGCAGGTGTATCACTTGAGCTCAGGAGTTCAAGACTAGCCTGGGCAACATAGGGAGACCCCATTTCTCAAAAAAAAAAACAACAAAAATAAGAAACTCTCTTTATGGCGCACTGCAGATGGTGGCTGGGAGATGTGTATATGTCCAGCCTGGGCCAGTAACAGGCAGCTGTTGGCCTTCCCTGGGATGCAGCCATATTCAGATGTTTAGTGGCTTTTCCGGGTCTCAGTGCTCCTGCTAATTCTGGTAAAAAGTTTGTTTTGCACAAAAGCATCACAGAGGTGTGGTGGGAAAAAGGAAGCAGAGCTGTTTTACAAACAGCTTCTTACCCTGGCTGTCTCTCAGGGCCTTGAGTCACCCTCTGAGGGCGGCTTTGTACGGAAACCCACACACATTGTTATTTTCCTGTCCCCAGGGATATGGTCCCTCTCTCTCTCTCTCTCTCTCTCTCTAGCAGACCAAATTTGTGGCCAGGTTCATCATGTCTCATTGCTCTTGTGTTTTTATAAAGAGCCTATAAGACAGTGAGAGAGACTGCCTAGGAGAGGGAGGGTTGCTCCTAGGCCATCTGTAGACCTTGCAAGAAATTCCAGGACCTGGCAGATAACAAGGCTTGTTTTGTTTTCTTTCATTTTCTCTTCTCTCCCCCACCCCGACCCCCCAGTTCTACCAGTAACAGTCTGTGCCAGCGTGGACAAGACACTTGATCTTTCTAAACCTCAGTTTCTTTATTCCTGAATTAGGAGAAAAAATCATATACCCTAAAGTCCCAGATATGTGCTAACTGAAAATATGACTGATATTATATTTTTAAGAACCTAAAGTCTGGAATAGAATGAGCTCAGATGGTACCCCTATGGTGATACTGATGAGCTCATTTCTTGTGTTTGTGCAAGAGCATTTTCATATATGCACATAGTGGCTGCTGCACCCTCTATGTGGGTACACATATGGCTTCCCCACAAATTGCAGGGCAAGGAAAGATCACCTGAACATCCTTCCCCCACCCTGGTCTTCCACAGAAGGTAGGGGATAGTCTTTGAAGGACAGGCTGAAAATTCATCTTTTGATTTCAATCTCATTTTATTCCCATTGCCTTTTGTTGTTGACTATACCACTCCACTTGATGGAAGTAGTTTCCATCTTAAAGAGGGGAGAAAGATTTCAGGAATAGGACTCAAGATGATCTGCAGTTATATATATATATATATATATATATATATTATATATATATGTATATATAATATATATAAATATATAATATATAAATATATATATAACTGTATGTATATATATACAGTTACGTTTATGTATATATTTTTCAAAGCAGTTTTAGAGTTACAGAAAAATGGGAATGAAAAATACTGAGAGTTCCCCTATACTCCTCACCTTTTGCCCCAATAATTTTCCCTGTTAGTAAATTCTTGGCTTAGTGTGGTTTATATATATATATAGAAGTAGTTAAAACTCCACTGTCCACAAGAATGAAGTCATAGATGGCAAGGGCTTTATTACTAGGCAGTTACCCTGACTCATAACCCTCTAACTGGCAGATCCTCACAACTGCACGTTATGTTTTTCTAATCAGCATGCCATTTATCTTTTGGAAACTCCAGTGAGGGAAGTAGAGAGAATATTATTGCTACTTTTGGCAAATGAGAGTAAGATAATCTGTCCAAGGTCAACCACTAGTTTCAGAGCATTTCACAGTTTTTCCAGTGGGGGTCTCCACCTTCCCCTTCTCCACCATGTCCCTCATAGTGGAGGGAACCATTCTTTACTCTCATTAGCTTAGAGATGATGCTCTCCCAGTTTGAGGCATGAGCTGCTCCCCTTCCTTCCTTCCTTCCTTCCTTCCTTCCTTCCTTCCTTCCTTCCTTCCTTCCTTCCTTCCTTTCCTTCCCTCCTTCCTTCCTTCCTTCCTTTCTTTTTCTTTCTTTCTTTTTGAGACAGGGTCTCACTCTGTCACCCAGGCTGGAGTGCAGTGACACAATCATGACTCACTGCAACTTTGGCCTCCTGGGTTCAAGTGATCCTCCTACATCAGCCTCCTTAGTCGCTGAGACTATAGGCATGAACCACTGTGCCAGGCTAATTTTTTTTTTTTTTTTTGGTAGAGATGGGGTTTTACCATGTGGCCAGGGCTGGTCTTGAACTCCTGGGCTCAGGTGATCCTCCAGTCTCGGCCTCCCTCCTAAAGTGCTGGGATTACAGGCATTAGCCACTGTGCCTGGACAGGTTAAACTGGTCCAACCATATTCCATGTGTGAGACATTTAATACCATTTTAAAATGAATTAATGGAAGGATTGATGGATATAAGATGAGTGAGGTGAGTTGATGGCCAGCCCAGAATAGGCTTTTTTTTTTTTTTTTTGGAGGGGAGCGATGATAGTGCTGTCCAGAGGGCTGGTGTGGCACTTGGGTGGGGTTCTCTGTAGTGGTGGTTTGGGCTAGAGGGATAGCACTGTGACTGGAGAGGAAAAACTCCTCAATAAAATAATTGAGGCAAATGAGAACAATCCTGATGTTTCTGAGAAGCACCCTTTTCACTTCTCTTTCTGTTCAGGCTGGATTCCGAGACAGTAGCAATTTCAGGTTCTCCTTCTCGGAGGAAATGGCCCGCCACCAATCTCTTGGCCAAACACAGCACGTGAATAGCTTTGCTGCATGTTTTCCCGGAGGGCTGATCCCTCTCAGCACACAGGGGCAGCCACAGATTCAGGCCCTACAGGCACTCAGTTTGCCCTGAAACACCTGAAAAAGCTGCCTTCTCCCTTTAATATCCTTTCACCCCCTCAATCTCGGGTGCAGACTTGGCCTCATGTCACTGCTGCTTTAGGAAACCCTGGAAATCTTAGTTCCCTGGTAGTTAAAAGGGGTAGATGGTATTACAAGACCGCCAAGTTTGCCAGGTCCCTGGCCTCCCCCAGTGTAGGAATATCCGCTTCCAAGTCCACCTACCCCTCTGCAGCTCTTTCAGCATCGCCTTATCTTCTCCTCACACACCTTTCCAGGCACCTACCAGTGCCACCTGTTTTCCTCTGATGCTCAGGAGCCCCTCCTTACCGGCTCCTGTGGAGACCACCGTTCAAGACAATCCAGGGGCAGCACATGAGAAAACAGAGAGTCTTGAGTTCTAAACCATCAGCATTGCAGCAAGATGGAGTGAAAAAATGGTTGGTTTTCCCATTTGCCTTCCCCCTCATGCAATCACATCTTTAAAAAATGTCCACCCCAATATCATTCTTGAAAAGAAAAGAATCATCCTTGGAAAGATGAGTTTTTTTTTTTTTTTTTTTTTGAGACAGAGTCTCACTGTGTCACCCAGGCTGGAGTGCAGTGGTGCAATCTCGGCTCACTGCAAACTCCGCCTCCTGGGTTCAAGCGATTCTCCCACCTCAGCCTCCTGAGTAGCTGGGATTACAGGCATGCGCCACCATACCTGGGTAATTTTTGTATTTTTAGTAGAGAAAGGGTTTCACCATGTTGGCCAGGCTGGTCTCGATCTCCTGTCTTCAGGTGATCCACCCACCTCGGCCTCCCAAAATGCTGGGATTACAGGCATGAGCCACTGCGCCTGGCCAAAAAGATGAGATTTATGTTCAGGTTTGCTCTTTCTCTGAGTATCAGTAGCAATAATCAGTTTTGACTATTGGCCAGGTTTCTCCAGGGAAACAGAATATATCTATTAAGAGATATATATCTATTAAGAGATTTATATCTAGAAATTGGCTCATGTGATTTCGGGGTCTGGTATGTCCAAAATCTGTAGTACAGGTGGGCAGGCTGGACACTCAGCCAGGAGTAGACACTGCAGTCTTGAGGTGGAATTCCTTTTCTGGGAAATCGGTTATTGTCTTAAGACTTTCAACTGCCTGGATGATTTCCCTCTATGTTCTGGAAGGTAATTGTTACTTCACATTAACCACATCTGCAAAATACCCTCACAGCAACACCTGGATTAGTGTTTGGTTAGATCATTGGGTACTATGGCCTTGCTAAGTGACACATAAGAATGACCATCACACTCAGTTTGAAGGGCCCTCTCACGGATTGCAGGATGACAGAAAGTGCTTTGGTTTCTATCCAAAACATCAGCACTTGCTTGGGTGTAAAAGCAAGGCTTGAGTTGTGTCACCAGAGCTGTGGGTGGATAACTCTTATTTGAATTGTGCGTACTGTGGGACAGACTTTGCAACCAGATTAGATTAGCTTCCTTGGGACCTGGCTAAAGAACAGAGAGATTCTAGGAGGCAGTACTGGTGCTAAAAATATCCTCAGAGCCACTTACAAAGAAATTACTAAATAGTTACCTCATAGAAAGTGAGTTTTGACATTTAGTACTTACATGAAAATGTTTCCAAAATTATTTATTTATTAATTTATTTTCCCTGCTAAAGTAATCACTGGCCAATTTAACTGTGTCTCTGTTGGGGGGCAGGGAGCTAGATACCATCTTATGTAGCATGATCCCAAGGAACATTAGAAAATCCATTTATTCCAAAAACTTTTTTCTTCATAAAAATATTTTATTTGAAAATTTATTTTTGGAGCCTATAAACGGGTAAATTCCAAAATAGTAGTAATACAGAGTTTTAAAGAATATTTTAATGTTCCTTTTTATTCGAGTCTGCCTTTGTGTTTTTCTTTCCATAAACAAATACACTGGATTAAAGCAACAATACTCTTATATTCAAGTTCAGTGCTTGAGTTTCTTGAATACTATTTCCATTTAGAGTTTAGTAATTACTTAACTTCACATTATTCTGTCACAAATGATAATATATATATAGTCCTACCGATATAGTAAAAATCATAAAACTATTATAAGCCAAGTCAACAGAATTTATAAAGTTAATATAAAACAATAACTATACGGATACACATGTGCATTGGTCCCTATTAGAACTATGCCAACATAACAAGCATTACTTAAAGAATGAGTTCTTTGGGCAGAGAGAAGTGATGGGTCACTATCATCAAAAATTATTAGTAAGATTATAGGTAAAAAGAAATCAGTCTATGATTTTAACTAAATAAAGGAGGAAACAGGAGTACATCATCACAGTTGATGCAGTTAGGAAAATTCAGTTACCATTCTATCACAGACTGGTTGACTACTTCTAGAACTACAGTCAGGCTCTTCAGGCATTCTGTTACTCTCTCACTAGAAGTTTCCTTACATGGGACATAAACCTACATTTATGATAACAACAGAACATGACAATGCTATTTAATCTGACAGTTAGCAAACAATAGAAAAGCAACTTGGAAATTGGTGGAGCCATACAGTCTCATTGCCCCTGAAGACAGGGGGCAAAATGAGTCATCAAGAAACAGTATTCAATCAACCCAAAAGCTGATCAATGATAGACTGGATAAAGAAAACGTGGTACATATACACCATGGAATACTATGCAGTCATAAAAAGCAATTAGATCGTGTCCTTTGCAGGTATATGGATGAAGCTGGAAGCCATTATCTTCAGCAAACTAATGCAGGAACAGAAAACCAAACACCACATGTTCTCACTTGTAAGTGGGAGCTGAACAATGAGAACACACAGACATAGGGAGGGGACTAACACACACTGGGGCCTGTCAGGGGAGGGTGGGGTGGGGGGAGGGAGAGCATCAAGAAGAATAGCTAATTCATGCCGGGCTATTAAGCGGCATGGTGATGGGTTGATAGGTTCAGCAAACCACCATGGCACACATTTACCCATGTAACAAACCTGCACATCCTGCACATGTACCTCAGAACTTAAAAAGAAAAATAAAAAACAGACAATATTCAAAGAGCACTGTATTATCTAATGTGATTTATAAAACAAGCAAAATGCAGCAATTTTCAATGGAAAATGCCATAGCGTTTGAAAACTAGGAATGTTTTGGTGCCGATTTTTATCAAAGTTGTACACCAAGCCATTAAGTTGGAACAAATTCCAACTTCACAATTACTTGCATCACCTCAGTTTACTAATCCAATAAATGACAAAAAAAAGACAAATAAATGAAACAGCATTGCAGAGCACAGCAGCTTTGTTTGGCTCCTTATGGATAAAATCTCCAGTTTGCCCATAGTTTTACCTAGAAATCCAGTTGTAGAATCAAATTGTGAATCCATTACAGCTAATAATTTATTTTGGGTTTTAACTTCATGGCCTATTTCAATGGAAAAAGATTTTATAGCAGTTACTTTGCTTCTCAGATTTTCAGTGAGTGTCTCATTTTCTTCTTCACGGGCACTATACCCATTATTAGCATAGCCATCATTCCCGGAGTTGTCAGGAGGTATTCCTTCACCCAGGCCTGCATGCTTCATTGTGCTAGAGGAGAGAGGGAAAAGGTGGGCGCGGGAGAGTTGGGTGGGTAGGAAAGAGCTAGGGGTGACCCGGACCACATCTTCAGTACCAACGCCCCGTGGAACACCAACTTCTTCCCCTAAAGCACCATGACATCAGTCCAAAAAGTATTTTTTCAATTGACCTGGCATAGGCTCTGCAATTCTGCAATTAGAGACTCACTTTTTAGCATTAATGCCTTGAGCCTGTTACAAGGCAACTCACTGAAACTTTGCACACAGCAAGGTCCTCATGTTGCTCTGGAATGGGTTGTATGGGTTTTTCATAGTAGCGAAGCCTGAGAAGTTATTCTTCTGTGGGGCCTGGGTGGATTTTCTACCCGAGCACTGGACGTAGGAGGTAGAAGGAAAGGTATGGAGGGAACAATGCAAGGAGGTGAGGGGGCTTGATGAGAAGTGCCCCTGGGGTAGCGAGGTCCGAGTCTGTTTGAGGTAGGAATAGGGAAGCACCCATCCTCCTCTGCAGCATAAGGCATTGATCTGAGCCCGACAAATCAGTTCTTCTCTCCAATTACTGGATGTACACGCCCCTACTCCCCACCCCTAACCTGGACCCATGACAATCTCCTACTCTTGGGGTAAACAACCCATCCTGGTGTGTCTGGGACTTTCCCAGTTCAGCACTGAAAGTCCTTCAATCAGGGAATCCTCTCAGACCTGGGCCAACCAGGATGGTTGGTCACCCTTTGTACCACCATCACCATGGAAACGTAGGGGAGAATTTCTTTTGTGAGTTTATTGAAAGTGGATGCTTTGCCGGGCACACTTTAGTTTGGGTACCAGCCCTGAGACCCTAAAAGTGGACAAGAACCCATGACAGCCAGATGTTCAGTTGGAAATAACTGCTGACTTTCTTGATCTGAGTGGACAGCATCCATCAGCCTTCCCTGCCTTCCATTCACTGCCTCCCATTAGCTAAATACAGGTGCTGGGAAACGCAGGCATGTGGTGCATTTTGGAGCTGCCTGTATGTTAAATAGGTGCTGGGAAACGTAGGCATGTGGTGCATTTTGGAGCTGTCTGTATGTTAAATACAGGTGCTGGGAAATGCAAGCATGTGGTGCATTTTGGGGCTGTCTGTATGTTCTTCAGCAGGAAGTCCAGGCTACTGCTGAGAATATCTGAAGTCAGCAGACCTGGTGTTAGTCTCAGCTCATCCCTTAAGTAATGTGTGACCTCAGCAGGGTTTTCTTTTCTTGCCCCAATTTCCTCATCTGTAAAATGTGATGCTTTGTGTTGGATATCACATCCGCCTCCAGTGTGAACAATCCATGTATGGTTTCCCCTCTAGGACAAAATAGAAGGGCTTCGAATGGGTGGAGAAGGTACCTTCTGCACAGGCAAGGGAACTGCACTTGGTGAAGTTCTTACAAAGATCAAGGGTTGTAGAATCAGAACTCGGGGGCAAACTTCCCACCTGGCAGTGAAAGGCACAAGACTATATTCACCTACGACAAGGAAAACACATTTCCCCCCCAGAAATACAGCATATTAAGCTGTTAGCTGCCATCTTCTTTTCAGTGAGGACAAGATTTTCCAAATAAAACTCTGTGATCGTGAAAAATCGAGATGAGCCAGGGATGGGAGAGGAAGAAAACATGAGACAGACCTTGCAGTGGCCGAGGAAACGGCCTCCTGCCAGCCCCAGCCCAGGCCCTCAGGGTGGGAAGTGCATCGAGGGAAGGCCAGAAAGGGGCAGAGCTCAGCAGTCCCAAAGGGAAAGAGCCCTGGAGCTCTGGCCAGCTGGGTAATCCCACAAACACTGTGTGAGTCCCTCTATTCTCTGTACTTGGGGTCAGGTGATGGGAGCGGGGCTATGGGGTCCTCACTGACCCAGGGTGCCAGTGCCTCTGGATGCCTTTGCCTTCTGTCTTTTGGCACCTCCTCCTCAGAATGCAGTTTTTATACCCTCACTCTTCACCCGCTCTCACAGGCTGAGGAGAAGGCAGGTTGGCTCCAGGATCACTGCTGCTGCTGATCCTCCTGGTGGGCAAAACAGGCTGTGGGAAAAGCACCACAGGGAACAGCATCCTTGGCCAGCCTGTGTTTGAGTGCAAGCTGGGGGCCCAGTCAGTAACCAGGACATGCCAGGTGGAGACAGGAACATGGAATGGGAGGAAAGTCCTGGTGGTCGACACGCTCTCCATCTTTGAGTCCAAGGTCCAGACTCAAGAGCTGTACAAGAACATCGGGGACTGCTACCTGCTCTCTGCCCTCGGGCCCCATGTGCTGCTTCTGGTGATCCAGCTGGGCGTTTCACTGCTCAGGACACAGTGGCCATCAGGAAGGTGAAGGAGGTTTTTGGGGCAGGGTCATGAGACATGTGGTCATCCTCTTCACCCACAAAGGGGACTTAGGGAGCCAGGCCCTGGATGACTATGTAGCAAACATGGACAACCTCAGCCTGAAGGACCTGGTGCAGGAATGTGAGAGAAGGTACTGTGCCTTCAACAACCGGGCTGCCGGGGAGGAGCAGAGGCAGCAGCAGGCAGAGCTCCTGGCTGCGATCGAGAGGCTGGGGAGGGAGCGAGAGGGCTCCTTCTACAGCAATAACCTCTTCCTGGATGCCCAGCTGCTCCAGAGAGGCAGGGCTGGGGCCTGCCAAGAAGACTACAGGCAGTACCTGGCCAAGGTGGAACAGTAGGTGGAGAAGCAGAGGTGAGAGCTGAGGGAGGATGAGAGTAACTGGCCATGCAAGGTGCTCCTCAGCGTCAAACACTAGATGCTTTCTTAGGTTGTCATGTCTGCCTTTTTATTACATGTGGTTTGATTGTTCTTACCATTTTAATGAACTTTTGTATCACTTGTGGACACTGAGCATTTTAGGTGATTTCTACAGCCTGCCTTTTTTCTTTCCCAGAGTTGCCATCTCTGTTTATGTGTGTACAGCACTTTGCTTGCTTTTTACAGAATTTCACTCCCAATTTATCTTCCTTGCATCAGACATATCATCAATTTTCCATCCAGTGCTTTTAGATAAATAAAATATTGGCTGGGTGTGGTGGCTCACTCCTGTAATCCTAGCACTTTGGGAGGCCAAAGTGGGTGGATCACTTGAGGTCAGGAGTTCAAGACCAACCTGGCCAACATGGTGAAACCCTGTCTCTACTAAAAATACAAAAATTAGCTGGAAAATCAGTTGAACCATGAGGTGGAGTTTGTAGTGAGCCGAGATCGAGCCACTGCACTCCAGCCTGGGCAACAGAGATTCTGTCTCAAAAAAAAAAAAAAAAAAAGAAAAAGAAAAAAAAAGAAAAAAAGAACGAAAAACGAGTTCTTTTTTATTTTTTTTTTAAGTTGTGAGTGTAAATCATAAACTGGCTGGGTACAGCTATGGAATATTTGGGGGCTTGCAGGAAGAAAGGTGCTTGGCTACGATGCTCTGAGAATGTCTCACCCTGGGCCCTGCTTTCTGCATTCCTGATGTCCAGGGGAGAAATGTGCTATGTGAAAAGCTGCTGGCAGAATTCCTTACTTTATTCATAGATATGCTCAGATTTATTTGCAGGCTGAAAAGGTGATGCCCTGCCCCCACCTCAGAGAGCAAGGATGGTGAGATCCATCTGCTGAACCAAGCAGGGGACCCTGTAGGTATGGAGAAGGCTGGAGGAGAAGGGGCTGGACTTGAAGGAAAGAGAGCAAGGGGTTGCCGTGGCCGGCTGGGGCCTGCCTTGGGGAAAGCAAGGAGAGCAGCTGGGAAATGCAGGACCTGGGATGTCCTGGAGTAGGAGTTTTAAGACCAGAGAGCAGAAAACCTGGGCTCAGCAGACTATATGGTAGATGTCCCAGCTACTTATCTCACCTTTGCCGCATAGACAAAGGCCACTATGGATAAGATTGTAAGTGGTGTGCAAGGCTGTGTCCCCTAGAACTTCATGAGCACTGAATTCTGAATTTCATGCAGTTTTCATGTGTGAAGATGAAATGTTATTTTTCTTCTGATTTTTTCAACCATTTGGAAATGTAAACACCCTTCTTAGCTCACAGCTGTACAAAACAGGTGGTGGGCCAGATTTGGGCCGAGGGCTGTCATTTGTTTCACTGATTTCCCATTGTTGGCTGGGCTGAACTGCAATGCGATATCTCTAACCCGAAACTCAGTACCATCCAGGACAGTGACGTGTGATGTCCATGGGAATTTGAGGAAAGGGTGGTGTTCCCCATCTCAAGCAGCAAAGAGAAGAAGGCAGACATGGGGCTCAAGTATGGGCAGATCGGGAATTCAGTGGAAACAGGTAATCAGATGAAGAGGAAGTCCCTGGGTCCCTCCACCACACCTTCTTCTTTGTGTTCGGTAAGGGAGACCTGCAGCCATCCCGGACAGGCCATGGCTGGATGGGCAAGTGACTACTCTGGGGTGAGTCTGAGGTGCTCAGCTGTGATGCCCCTTAGCAGCATCCTCCAGCACTGCTGCTGGCAATGAAGCTCCACGTCTGGCTCCATGGCACTGACTCCTGCATCGTCTGGCACAGAACTGATTCCAAACATGTGCAGGGAGTATGTTGTGTGCCAGCTCCCCAAACCCTGGGAACCCTGAGTTCTCAGACTGAGGACCACCTCCTCAATTCATTGTTCCCAAACTGCTCCAACTGAGCTTGACTTACTTAATTCAGTCCAGCTTCACAGACATTTATGATGTGAGTACTGAGGGTCAGGGTCAATGCCTGGCACCAGGAGTGTAAGATAAAAAATAACAGGCTTCTGCTCCCCAGGAGGGGTAGTGGGGTGGAGGGATGAAAGCACATAAAAGTGGGGCTGTAGGAGAAGGTTTCTTTTGGAAGCAATGTCAGCAAGAAGGAGACCACGGCAGGCTCTGCAGCAGCTTCCTAGACAGGGTGATGCTAAGCTGACTGGGAACATCCTTGCCTCTTGGGGAAGTCACTGGAGGCTGAGGGACACGTGATTAAGGAAGGGGATGGGAGTCAGCACATGGGAGGAGGGGTGCACAGGGGACTGGGGCTGGGTGGGGAGGGGGGGTCTGGGCCTCATTCTTAGGATTCAAGGGTGCCTTCTGGAATCCTCCCTGGAGGCTTCTGAGCAGGTTGGTGTGTCTTGGGAAAATCAGGTGGCAGCTGGGTTGTATAAGTATAAGCCTGGGGACAGGGATAACATTCGGAGGAAATCAGCACCTGCACTCCAGCAATAGCAGTGGGGATGGACAGGACAGATTCGGGAGAGGTGAGGAGGTGTCCTGCGGTGTGGTCTCTGATGGCAACATCGGGAGGGAACTCACCTCTGTCCTGGATGACTCTTTGAAATGTGGTTCCCTTCACTGCAGCAGCCCTGCAGAGGAGGAGTGGGCTGAGCCAAGGGAGACAAAGACTGCATATAAGTGTGGTGACCTTGAAGCCTCTGGAAACTGGTCCAGTAGATGTTGTCTGGGCTCTCCCTCCCTCCAGGGAGGCACTCTTGATTGACATAGCCATGATCTTAAGAAAGCATTACAGAGCGGCGCTGCCAGAGTAGCTTCCTTCCAGTGTGGGGATGGTCCATTCCTGGGTCGCCCAGTCCACACTCCCTCTACTAACAAGGAATCGCTTTCATGGTGAGCAGGATTGCCTGGTACCCAGTCAACAACCTGTCCCCCACCCCCACCCTGTGGACATTGACTTCCAAAGAAATAGAGCTGGAGAGTTGATCCAAGGACATTTTACAGTGGAGAAGGAGAAAGAGTTTGCTTAACCTTTCTCATGTGTGAACATTTGCCAAAGTGATTCCTTGCAGAGCATTGAAATGTGAGCTGTGTTTCTTTTGGGCCCCTGGCCAAACTGAGAAGAAAGCACAGAGAAAGCCCTGCGTACAGGGCACCCCATTTCCTTGACCCTCTCCCACTCCCATTCGTCAATGCAATCCATCCATCTGAAAGTGTTTTGCTTTACTCAGAGTTCAGGGAATGTCCACTATGTGGCAGGCACTTCAGTAGGAGCAGGAGGTTCTTCCTAATTTTAGGAACAAGAAAAGCCAACCCTGTTCCTTTATTCTAGATGCCACTTGCTCAAAGGAAGCATGTGGACTGGGAAGTTCCAACAGATTTAAAGGATAAAAAGGAATGTGGAGAAATTTTTATTACTTTGAATGTTTTAGAATGCAGGTAGAAGAGACCCGGAGCTCAAATAGCTTAAATAAGTAGGAAATCTATTGGCTAATACAACTGGAAATGCGGAGATAGGGCAGGCTGCAGGGCTGGTGGCTCAGGGCTCAGGGGGCCCCAACTCTCTGTGCTGCTCTGAGGCACTGCCTTCAATCTCAGGTTGGCAGCACAAAGCTGCTGAGAGTCCCAGTGTCACGCCCAGACCCCACAATGCCAGGGAGGAAGACAGGTTCTATCTAAGGAGAGATCTTCCATCCCCACCTCTGCGGACTTTTACTCACTTCTCAGGGACCTGCATGGGATCTCAGGCCCATTCCTGAAGCAGTTGTTGGCAGACAGAGTGGAATAGTGTTTACAGCAGGCAGGCAGCCTTGGAGTGGAGGCACACAGCTCCAAGTCTATCAGGAAGAAGGGGAAATGGGAGCTGCACAGACAGCAAGCAGCATGCTCCATAGACCACGAGGATCTGAGTCTGAATTGGTGATTATTAGAACAATGACTCCATGGGGTGATACATTAGAAGTGCTCCAGGGTCCAGAGATTTAAATGTAATGAAAGATGAACAGAAAAATAATGAAAAAAAGTATGCTGCACAACAATAGAAAAACAAAAATCTCATAATGCAAAAGCATCAAGTGTTTGACTCTGAGGAGCGCCTTGTATGCCCAGTTACTCTCGTTCTCCCTCAGCTCTTGCTTGTGCTTCTCCACCTGCCATTCCACTTTGGCCTGGTACTGCCTGTAGTCTTCCTGGCAGGCCCCAGCTCCAGTTCTTTGGAGCAGCTGGGCATCCAAGAAGAGGTCATTGCTGTGGAAGGAGCCCTCTCGCTCCCTCCCCAGCCTCTCAATCACAGCCAGGAGCTCTGCCTGCTGCTGCCTCTGCTCCTCCACAGAGCCCCAGTTGTTGAAGGCACAGTACCTTCTCTCACACTCCCGCACCAGGTCTTTCAGGCTGCAGTTGTCCGTGTTTGCTACATAGTCATCCAGGGCCTGGCCCCCTAAGTCCTCTTTGTGGGTGAAGAGGATGACCACATGTCTCATGGCCCCTGTCCCAAAGACCTCTTTCACCTTCCTGATGGCCACTGTGTCCTGAGCAGTGAAACGCCCCAGCTGGATCACCAGAAGCAGGACGTGGGGCCCCGGGGCAGAGAGCAGGTAGCAGTCCCCGATGTTCTTGTACAGCTCTTGGGTATCGGCCTGTGACTCAAAGATGGAGGGCGTGTCAACCACCAGGACTTTCCTCCCGTTCCATGTTCCTGTTTTCACCTGGCACGTCCTGGTCACTGACTGGGCCCTCAGCTTGGACTCAAACACGGGCTGGCCAAGGATGCTGTTCCCTGTGGCACTTTTCCCGCAGCCTGTTTTGCCCACTAGGATAATCCTCAATGCCGGTGGTGTTGCAGACAAGTTATCTTCTGATCTACCTGTAGAAAACGAAGTTTTGTATCTTACTAAGTTAATGATTCTTAAGACTGTTAGGTCATTGTTCATGGTTATCTCATGAAAGCTATGAACGTCCTCCCCAGAATGACAGACATATTTATGTGTACATAAAAGTGTGCATACAACTATAGGTGAATCTTGCATGTAGAAAGCCCCATTGGAAGCCCATGCTTGGATCCACAGCCAGGAATTAGAACTGTTGCATTAAGGGGATGCTTTAAGCACTTCATCTGGATTGTGGCAAATAGAGCTTTCCTGAAAGAAAATGGTCCTTGTGTTTTCCCCTGCGTGGTGTTTAGGCCAGCTCCATGGAGAATTATTAGAAAGAGGCAGGGGATTAGTAGTTACAAGTGAGAAAATCCAATTACTTCTCTTTCACCCACACATTTCCAGGCACACTTGTATAGACACACTCCACACATTCATCCAAGTCTTGAGGGTCAAGGAGGTCTCCACTGGCAAATCTATAGTGACCCACTGCCGGGGGTCAGCTGCCTGTCCCTGGGTCTGTGCCCTCTGGATAGGGAGTGAAATGTTTGAAATTGAGATGACATAGGTTGTAGTTAATGTTAGGGCAGCGTCTGGGAGATGACCCTAGGGTGGATGGCTCAAAAAGGTGGAAGATAAGCTCAATAGAAGCATGTGTGTTGAAAAGCTCATCTATGTGGCTGATTGAAGCACACAAAATTATAGCAGAAGTGGTGTTGGAGAGGGTGACACTGTGGCAGGAGCGAAAATCTTCAGGCACGAAGAGGGGAGAACCTGTGGATTTCTAGAGCCCAAATGAATTCGAAGTGCATTTTAGGCTCTTAAAAATCTATTATTTTATTTCTCCCACTCTGGGTTGGTTCTTCGTTTTCTTAAGTTATTCTGTGGTGTTTTGTAGCAAGCACAATGACTAAATCCCTATGGGGACCTTTTCTTTTTGAGCTGTCAGCAGACAAAGAAAGAGAAAACATATTCACCATTTGCTTCCAGACCCTTCAACCTATGACTTGGTTTCCTTTCCACATTTCCCACATACCTGATGCAGGGAGAGCATCACACTATGGTGTGTGTGTGTGTCTGTGTGTGTGTGTGATGGTTTGATAACACACACGTGATGATAGTTGCCTTTATCTTCTTCATTTAAAATGAATGGGTTTCTGCCACTGTGTTTTAGATGGGGGTAGATGGGGAGAGAATTGTGATTCTCCCAAGTGTCTGGGGCTCTTGAGAACTTCAAGACTTTCTTACCTTCAGCCATAGTTCCATATTTGCCCCTCTGGAATCCTCCCATTCTCTCCTGGAATAAAAACAGGAAAAGGATAAAAAGCAGATGTACGTTTGGGAGCTGGTAGAGCCTGAGGGCACCTCAATTCAGACATCTAAGAATAATCATTCTCAAATGAGCCATTTCCATCCCTAATTTTCTAACTCATACTTTACTTTGAAACATCTGTAAATAACTTTAAACAAAGCAGGTGATGTTAGATGTTAGGTTATGCTAAAATAGTGCACGATTACTTCCCTCCCCTCAACTTACAGAAAATCAGGAAATATTTTGAAGCAAATCAGTTGATTATCTCCCCCAACCAGAAAGGCATGAAATGGAGAAAGCATTCTTCTATGGAACAAAGAGTAGGCATTAAAAAAATTGAAATTAAAGTAACAAACTTACCAGAATAGAGAAAAAAAAATTGCCTTGCTGTAAATAAGATTGGTTTATTTGAAGTAGTGGAAACTTCCAGTCCCAGAAAGTCTTTGTGTCAAATGGACATTCCAGCGGCGGAGAGGAAATTACAAGGTACTGTCCAGTGGGAGGATGGAAGTGGGGATCAGGGACACGAAGAACTGACGTGAGAGGAAATGGTATAGGGGGACCGGTATGACCGCTTTCCCACCCTGACGGTTGGTGGAGAGGAGGTAGTGAGGTGATTGAAGAGAAAGAATCAACTTCAGGCCGAATTCAAGAACAACTCATTGCCTGCTCCGGGTTTCCAGCATTGTGCAACAGTATTGGGGATGTACATTTTCCACGTGACTGGTTATTGCCAAATATGACTCCCAGGGAGTTGAGTTAACTCCTATTTGCACCACCCATTTATAAGAAGTCCCCAAATCTTCACAGGCACTTAGTAATATTACACTTTTAATTTCCTGTCATCCTTATGGGCATAAATAAGGATGTCTTAATTGGCTTAAACTTACATTTTACTGATTATCATTAAATTAAAAACAGTTTTCATGGTTTATTTGCTATTTTGGTAATTTATAAACTTCAATTTTTAATAACTTCTGTGATTTCTATCTTTTCCACATTTTTCTATTCATTCAGTGGATTTTCTTGGCCTTCTTTAGGTCAAGAAATCTATTTTTATATTATCAGAATGTATTAAGACAGCTTCCTGCCTCCCTCCCTTTCCCTTCTTTCTTTTCTTCCTCCTTTCCTCTTTACCCTCCCCTCTCTCCTTTCTTTCTTTTTCTTAAGCCCAGAGAAGAACATTTTCCTCTCTCCCACACCCTGTTCTCGTCTCTGGTAAATTATGCTTCTGGCTTTTGCTAAAATAGCACCAGTTCCCTGACATCCTCTCTACTTTAGATGACGTTTTCTGAGGTTTGGAATCAACATAATGATGTGGTAAGGGTCAAGATGACAGTGGTAATGATATTGATTATGAACATCATAATTGTAATAAGCCTCTGTGAATACATTTATAATTTTCAAAGTTATTTCATCCTTCTTATTTTAATTGCTCTCTCAAATTCCCTGTGATGTGATCAAAACTGATCTTAAAATTTCTATTAAAATGCAAGGAAACTGAGCATTAAATGACCTGCCAAAGGTCACATATTTACAATGGAGCTAGCATCAGGAAATGGCTCCTTTTGCTGTGTATTGTCCTTGATTCCACAGGTGGAAAAAGAGACTTTTCCAAAAAAGTCAACAAACCTCTTGGAACATGTGTACAATGCTGCCACTCCCTGGTCAGGAGACAAATTAATTGGACAGCTAGAAGCCTACCCTAAAACCAACACACAGAATTTTATTGCAAAATCTTGAGTGCATTTCTTATAAAAGGTTATTCAAAAATAAAATTGCTGGTGGCAGGAGTTTCTCTGAATTGAGGTCTTTTCTTTTAAAACAGCCAATTGCCTGTCACAAAAGCCAGTCAAACTATGTTATGTTAGCCAATGACCAGCAACAATAGCTCTCCCAATCCAAGCTTTCTGAGTGGATCAGGCTGCATTGAGGAATACATTTTTTGGCAGATATTCACAAATAACAAAGTGTTCACAGGTGAGTCAGAAAGGATACTGATGGCAATGCTAAAATGAGTCATGGAGAAGATTATAAAAGAACTGAATAGAGCGTGGTGGACACACCGTAGGCTTGAAGGAATGTGATACGTGTTGGTCTACAGGGCAGACAAAAGTGGAGGAATTGAGAATGAAGACAGGCGTCTTCTCCAAAGGAAAAATTTTACTAATCGTCCCACAAAAGAGACCAAAGTTCATGAGAGATTGGAAGGCAGTGTGCAAGCAAGACAGTAGCAGCCTCTGGCAAGCTGGTGGGAGGGTCTGGCTCAGGGAAAAGGGTGAAGCAAATGAACAAAATGCACATTCCGATTTGAAAATTGCATGAACCTGATTTTACCATGAGAAGAGCTTATTTTAGCAAATTACAAGAAAGCAGCCTCTTCCATACTATTTTAGAAAAGATCAAACCACTTCTTGTCTTCCTTGTTCATAAGTATCTCCTTCACCCATCTGCCCCAGCCCATGTATTTCCAGGTATTGGAATCATGTGTTTTGCGGTTTGGTGTGCGTCCGGCAGGGTGTCATAGGAAAAATGTGGGGCATCTGGGGGAGCATGGGGTAGTTTTCAGAAGTTGAAAGTCACAAGACAAGGTCCACTCAGGGGTCTTGTTTGGAACATGAGGCTCCTGGGGTGGGAAAATATCCCACATTTGCCCTGGGGAGCCCTAAGAATCCATCCTCAGCTCCCAGGCTTGTCTGAGACATGGTACGTGTCTGGCTGGTCTGGGACAGGAGAAATTAGGAGGGTAAAATTGAGAAGAATGCCCCGGCATGCTAGGGGAGATGGGGGAAAGCCTATCACCCTCTGGGAGCTTCAGTTCTCCCATCTGTCCCACTGATGAGAGGATCAGTTCAGCCTTACTCCCTGAGAGTTTCATGGAGATCGACTTGGCTAAGTAATGGGCAATGGGGCAGCAAAGCCCGCTGTCCTGGGACTGGGCTGTGAGTGCAGGCACAGATTCTTCAGGCTGTGCTCCACCAGCTGTGCACCTGCTGATGCCCGCAACACTCATCACCATTGCCCCGTTTTACTGACCAGCGAACCCAGAAGTGAGGGGATCTGTGCAAGGTCATGTCAGAAATGAACAGCTGTGACCAAACTGTGATCCTTTCAATTCCCAAAGTCTCTGTGAGCATAAACCCAGTTCTCCTTACCAGAAACGGTTGTTGTGCCCTGTCCTCCAGGGTGGCAGTCACTGAGGCTCTGGCCGCTGGTCCTCTCTCAGGAAGGTGAAGTGGCAGCAGAGAGAGTCCTGCTCTGCGTCTGTGTGCGGGGATGCTGTTCACAGGGCTGAGGGAGGTTGAGCAGACGCAGTTAAGGAGGAGCCATGTGCTGGGGCTGAAAGCTCCATGACTCAGCTGCACAAAAAGAAAAGTAGAGATTATGGAGTGTGTCCCCCACACCTCTGCGGACTAGGACACCCTGGTGTTGGCTGGAAACTGATTGGGAACAAGACCCTGAAAACCAGCCGAATGCAGCGATGTGCTGCTTCCTTAACGGGTCACTTCCTGTCATGAGCCTGCCCTGGGACAGTGTGCCCCATCCCATTTCCTTTTTTTTTTTTTTTTGACTGTTTCAAGCAAGCAGTATTTGGAAGAAGGAGATATGAAGGGAATTACAGACTCTCCCACTTCCAAGTTCAGAAAAGGTCCCTAGTGACTGGAAAGTTCTGGGCAGCAGCTGCTGCCCTCAGCACCCATCACCGGGGCACCTTCTCCTCCCAGCACTCTTGGGCCCCTTCTCACAGGCTCTGCTTCTGGAAAGTTTCTGCTAACCAGGATCAGAAAGGCACTCTGGTCCAAAGAGGACCAGAACAAGCCCTTGCAGGGTTTGACTCTGGGCTCGTGACTGACCCTGGTAAGCTGTCTGGCACGTGATGGAGCCCACCCTGTGGGGACATTGTGGAGTCTACGTGTCAGTTTATCTGGTAAGGGTTGAAAGCAGGGTGATAGAACCTCTATTTTTGAATTGATTGCCATTTAAGGCTAGAGCAGTGGACATAAACCTGATTGCCATTTAAGGTTAGGGCAGTGGACATAAACCTGATTGCCATTTAAGGTTAGGGCAGTGGACATAAGGCAATTATGCGATGGAGAACACAGTGGGACTTAGGCGGAGGGCCGTCATGGCCCAGAGAATCCCCATATCCTTTTCTGTTGACATTTGAAGTGGGGCTTACAGTCATATGGTAACAATTGTCTAAGACTTGATGGGAAAACAATTTTAAACAATCTCCTGCTAGCCCAGAAAACCTCTCCACAGAGGCAGAAGAGAAAGAAAACAATTTTATTATTGAATGTCCATTGAACCAGAATGTGATCTGGATCCCAGACAATCCAGGAAGAGATTGCAAAGACGGAGAGGGATGCCACCTGGTTATACAGCCAGGCAGGTGCCACCTATTACACACGTGTTCTCAAGTTAAACCATAACTAATCCTCAAGTAAGAGGACTTGACAGCACCCTTTGACATGCATAGTTCATCCTAAATTCACTCAGTAATCATCTGTGTTGGCTAATTGTCTTTCCAGAGGAAAAGTAAACTTCTCACATCCTCTATGGCAAGAGGAAGATTTGCAACTCAGAAAGGTGCTGGCAGATGTCAGGCTCCTACCTAAGTTAGGCTCCTAAATTAGGCCCCTATTTTCACACAGAGACTGGGAGGTGGGGACGCTACCTTCCTTGATGTTTGCATTTCAAAGGGATGGCTTCCAGATGCTCTACAGACAGCCCTGGGCTGTCAAACAGCTTTTAAAAAGATTTGCATTACAAAGGGTAGAGAAAGATTTCACACTTACAAGGTTTCTAAAGAAAATGCTCTAAGAAGGGAGGGGTAATTCTTTTCCACTTTGTTTTTTCCCCAGAAAAGAGAATTAATGTTTTCTCCTTATTTTTGATTTTTATTCGCCCTTACATTTTTAAATTCTTCAAGGACTTTCAACCTAGTCAGCACTCATAATTTATGTGAATTGAGCAGAGCAGGGCAGAAAGTGGGCTGTAATCTGACCAGGATTTCACCCTTGCTAGATAGGGACCAGGTACTCCCCCAGCACCTGGCTGGAATCTTTCAAAAACTTGACCAACAGAGTTCACATCAAAATCTTATAAACAGTGAGGGGCACCGAAGCTAACCATTCCCATCAATGTAGCAAATTCACTTAATTCTGGCAACATCTTCAAACTCCTTCTCTTCTTTCCTTTTGGTTTGAACTATTTGCAAACATTATTTTTATCCACTGAACTGGGTGCTCTGGCACCCCAGCTAAGGACTGATTTTCTGCTTTGAGATCTGTTCTCTAAGTCTTATCTCTTCTCTAGCAGTTCCCAGGCTCCTCTTATGGCTCAAAGAGACCCCAGGGAGTCAATGATGAAATGTGTTAACTGGTCTCTATCAGTTTTCTGGGTGAGATCGTGGGCTTTTTAGAGGCCAGGGACTGTCTTTAGGTCAGGATCTTGCTAGAACTTAGCCCTAGAAAGTGCTCAAAAATACTTACTGAGTAAATCAGTAAAACATACAACTTAAATGCTCTAACTCTTCCCTCATGTCCCCTTTTGTAGTTACATTTAGTGCTAGAAGAATAATCTTAGGTAGCTACTTTCAGAAAGTAGGGTTGTAGAAATTCGTATATATCCAGATATGAAAGGATTTCCAAAACTAGACTCTTTGTGCCTTTTTCCACACCCTCTCTATTCCTCTGTTCAGATTTGCAAAACAAACAAACCCCCAGGAAACCTGGGACACCGAGGAAGTGGCCATTTTCCCTACCCTTCTGTTTGACACCAAATTCAATCCCTTTTCAGCCTGGACAGAGACAGTTCTCTACCAAACCTGACATAGTACAAAATATGATGAATCATTACTGAAAGCATGTCTCTATCCATCCCCAGCCACCTCTGCTATCCCTGCTTTCTCTCTGTGATGCTCCCTGGTGCACAGAACTGAGCACGCTGAGTTGCAACTCATGTGCTCTAGCTATGTGATGAAGTTTCTGGAGTTCTGAGTGCAGTAGCCATCTCAGAGTAGATACCTGTAGGCTGCCCTGAGAATCAGCTTTATTAAGCTGAGGAGATGCCAAAGCTCCATCTCGGAGACATTTTGGGCAGCCACCTTCCCTACCAACTTGGAGTGATTCAAGGACCCCTGGGTTCATGCCTTGGACCTTCTGTTTGAAATGGGAGACAGACAATTATTGCCTTCTGATGAAGGAGGAAGGGAGAATGAGGGAAAGAGGAGGCATGGCATTTACCACTTTCTCCTGAGCCACTGGGCTGAGGTCCTAGGTGACCAACCGCCAACTTGCCCTGAATTTGACTGGATTTAGTACTACAAGGCCCACGTCCTGGGAAACCCCTTAGTCCCAGTCAAAGTGAGCCTGTTGGTCACCACAAGGTCTCCTAACTCTTAGTCATGCTTGCTGTCTTTCACCATCTGGCCTCTGTCTCTTCATCCATCATCTCACCCTATTCCATGAAGGTCTCCTATGAACATGACTAGTGGGAAATGTGGAAATGAAACCCCAAGTCAATGTTGGGAGGCCCTGAAGCCAAATGCTGAAGTGTGATTTCTCTTCCTTGTCGGTAGTCACTCTAAAAAAAGTTCTTTCTTGGAACTTTTTTTTAGAACATTGTGTTCTTACGAAAATCAAAGAGCAGGTAAAAGATGCTGAAAAAAAGTATTAAAATGCAGGCATTTCTATATTATCAACATTATTATTTCCTTTGTGTCTGGACAAGGTCATGGCTACTCTTTTCAGGGCTGAGAGGGTCCAGGTCAGGGGCGCCTCTAATTGGAGGTGAGGAAAGGAGCCTCCTGGATCAGGGTGCTCTACAGAGACCACAGCTGCTGAAGAGGCTTCACGGTGGGGGCGGAGATCATCTAGGGGTGAATCCAGGAGGTAGAGTTGAGGATTCAGAAACATCCAGGTCAATAAAAGGGGCCACTATTTGAGCCCACAGTTGACATACAACATGGAGGAAGGATTAACGATGCCATGAAGTACACTCTAAGTATCTAAATATTGCATCTTTTGAAGCAAATTTACCCTATTCTCCTGAGCCTTTGCACCACACCAGACCTAATGGGTGGTAAGTCCAGACAGCACCCATGGGAAGCAGACAAAAAGCCACCCTCGTAAGGAATCTGAAATCTTATTAGAGAGACAAGACTTATGCAAATGAAAGACAATGAGTAAGGGTCCCAAATGAATGTTTTGGACAAGTGTATTTCATACACCCCATTGTAGAGCATCAAAACATGAAATAGAGTAGAATAGAAACTATCAAAATTAGTCACACAAAATATGAGTGTATGTAAGCTCTGGGAAGCAGTATAAAACTGAGGGTCATGGTAAAAAATACATGATAGCACAGTTTTAGACAATGTATTAAGCAGGATTTTGGGAAGAAAAGAGGTCAAAACGGACCAACCCCAAGGAGAAAGCCCTGAGGTGTGGAGTAGAACTTGGACATGTGATCAAGGTTGACTGGAGGTGGAGAAGGGGCCCTTTGAAGCGGTTATTTTAAAGGAAGCAGAGAGTATGTAGGTGTCAGGGCAGGACAGTGCCTAGAGCAGGTTTAAGAGCTTGTTGTCATGACCTCTGGAGTTGTCTGGGTAGCTGATGTCTAGTTGTCTAATTCCATAGCATTGCATTTAGAGTAGAACCTTCACCCATTTAGTTAGCTCAAAAGGCCAAGAGGGAGCAGCAGGACTGAATGCATGCCTTGACGCTCTCCTCTAGTTGTTTATTAGATGAGTTAGATGAGGTCCAGATGGGATGATAAGGTCCCTGAAGATTTCCTGGCTGGCACCATGGAGGACAGCTCCTGTTGCATCTGGAGTGGGGTGGACCCTCCTGAAAGCCTAATGAGACCCTCCTCTACCCTGACATTATCACCTGCAACTGAATGTCTCCTGGTGAGCATCTTGGGATCCACAAGCTGATATCTTCCTGTCACGAATAATGTTTCTGAGCTTGCTGAGGTGTACCCTCACCAGGCTGATTTCCTTTTGAGTCATTACATTGGAAATTCTCGGCCCTTGAGCTGTCTATCAATTATAGGTTTGTTGAGATATTTTCCCCCTCACCCTTCAGAGGGGAGACAAAGAGCCCCCCAAAACCCCAAGGTGGCTCGAGGCCTGAGATCAGTTGCATCTGAGGTTGAGAGCAGCCTCTTCTGTTTACACACTATGTTGTGACAAATGTTACCATGTGGACATCGACATGAAAAAGTTGGGAAGCTCTACTTTTGATGAAAAAAATATAATATACAAAGTCCTGCTGTCTGGGTCTTGCTTTCCTTCTGTCTGAAATTACTATTGACATTTGACATCATGGGGTATCAGAGTTACCAACAGGCACATCTGTAGGACTGGCCCAGGCTTCTTGGGGTGCACATTGTCTTTTAACATATCCCACCCCAAGATCTCTGGTTCCTCCTCTCCTGAAGCTATCAGACCTCCTCTCCTGAAGCTATCAGGAGATTCTGTCAGATTCTGCCCCAAGCAGTGCTCCCAAGCTGCCCCACCGTCTCTGTCAAGGCCAGGTTTTCCCAGATCCAGGACATGGGGTTCCTGGCCTGGGGATGCTTCTGTATCCTGGGAGCCTAAGCAAGGACCACAGTGGCTGCCTATTTGCTTTTTCAGAGAAGGGAAAACACAGCAAGAGCAATGATAAAAAGTGGAGGCAAAGCTGAATGTGTGAAGGCAGTTGATTTGCACAAGAAGTGTTAGAAACAGTTCAGTGACAACATTAGAAGTCATACCTCCTGTGGCTTTTCTATGAAAACTACAGCCTGTGCTGCCATAAGCCTCATGGAGACTTGCATGTACACGTCTGCCATTTGAGTTTAACCCAGTGAATAACTGAGTTGTGTGGAAGGGAAAGGAAAAAGGCACAGGCACAGAAGGTGAGAGCTAGAAGAATCTTGGGGATCATGTAAACTAGTCCTTTCCTCCCCCATATTACAGATAAGGAGACTGCAGTCTAGAGAAACCGTTTTCAGAAGACCACATTAGTTAATTTTAGTATATGGCGTGAGATATAAATCAAGATTTTTTTTGCAAATATATGTCCAGTTTTTCATTCCATCAACTTATCTTGCAGGGAGTATCCTTTTTTATTAAATTACTTTGGTACCCTTTCAAAAATTAATTGATCATATATATATGTCTATTTCTGAACTGTATTCTGTTCCATTGATCTTTATGTCTGATTTTCACCAGTACCTCACCGTTATGATGATGGCAGCTATATATAAATCTTGTGATCAGGAAGTGGAAATTCTCTTTTTCTTTTTCAAAATGGTTTTGGTTTTTAAATATAAATTTTAGAATCAGCTTGAAAAATATATAAGAAAATCCTTCCAGATTTTGATTGTGATTGCATGACTCTACAGATTCATTTGGAAATAACTGATATCTGAATAATATTGAATCTTCTGATTCATGGACATGGCATAATATTGTTCCAGTTATTTAGGTCTTGTTTGATTTTCCTCATCAATGTTTTGTAGTTTTCAGTGTAAAAACCTTAGATTAATCCCAATATTTTATAATTTTAATGGTACTATAAAAGGTATTGATGATTTAATTTCAGTTTCCAGTCATTCATTACAAGTATGCAAGAACATAATTGATTTTTGTTTGTTGACCTTGTATTTTCTGACCTTGTTAATTTATTAGTTCTAGAATTTTTTCTTGATTGAGATTTTCTTCATAGAAAATTATGTCATCTGCAAATAAAAACAGTTTTTATTCTGTTCTTTCCAATCTGTGTGCTTTTAATTTCTTTTCTTTGCCTCCTTTCACTGGCAGGATCTCTATCAAAACATTAAATTGGAGTGGCAATGAGGGACATTCTGGCCTTTTCCTGAACTTAAGGGAATGTATCCAGTCTTGTACCTTCCGTATTCTTACGGTTTTCTGTCTACATGTTTTATTGATTACTGAGAAAGAAGGTTTAAAGTATCCAAGTATAATTTTGGATTTGTCTATGTATCTTTTTGGTTTCTTTAGTTTTGCTTCATGTATTTTGAAGCTCTGTTTTTAGGTGCAAATATTCTAAGGATTCTTATATTTTTCTGATACATTAACACATTTATCATCATATAATGTCCATCTTTATCCTTGACAATATTCCTTGCTCTGTGGACTACGGATCTATGTTATATTAATGTAGGTTCTCCAGCTTTTTTTTGATGAGTGTTTTCATGATGTTTATTTCCTCATTCTTTTAAGCCATCTCTATGACTGTGATAGGCAGAATTCTAAGGTGGGCTCCAAGATTCCCATAAACTAGTATACATGCCCTGGATAATCTCTTCTTCTTTAGTGTGGGAAGACCTGTGAATAGAATGAATGACATTCCTATGATTGGTTTACATGGTAGAAGTGAAGGGATTTTGCAAATTTAATTAAAGTCTCTAATCAGCTAGTTTTGCATTAGTTAAAGGGGAGATTATTCTGGGTAGGTCTCACCTAATTAAAAGAAGCCTTAAGAGCAAGAGATACTTCCAGCTTTTAAGAAAGAAAACATTCATGCTTTAAACTGCCTGTGAATATATGGAGAGGGGCAGCCTCTAGGATCTACCCACAACAACAGTCTTTCAACCACAAACAACTGAATTCTGCCAACAACCCGAATGAAGTTGGAAAAGGACCCTGAGCTCCAAATGGCAGCATGGGTAAGACTTCGATTTCAGCTTCACAAAACCCTGAGTCGAGGATCCATCTAAGCCATGTCTGGATTCCTGTGCTAGGCTGTTTTTGCATTGCTATAGAGAAATACTGAGACTGAGTAATTTATAAAGAAAATACATTTATTTTGGCTCACAGTTTGCAGGCTGTGCAGGAAGCACAGTGCTGGCATCTTCTTCTGGTGAGGGCCTCACAGTGCTGGCATCTTCTTCTGGTGAGGGCCTCAGGAGGCTTCCAATCATTGTGGAAGACAAAGGGGAGCCTGCATGTCACACGATGAGAGTAACAGCAAAGTGTGGGGGAGGTGCTACACACTTCCAAATAACCAGGTCTCACTCACTGCAGTGAGGACAGCACCAATCCTTCTATGAAGGATCCACTCCCATGACCCAAACACTTCCCACCAGGTCCTGCCTCTAACATTAGAGATTACATTTCAACATGAGAAATGAGGGGCCAAACATTCCAAAAATATCAACTCTTGATCCACAGAAACTGTGACATAATAATTGTGTGTTGTTGTAAGTTGTCACATTTGTGGTAATTTGTTATGCAGCAATAGATAACCAATTCAGTCATTATATTTAAAGTGAATTTTTTAGTAGATAGCCTATGGTTGAATCTTATGGTTTTCTTGTGGTTTTAACCAATCTAAATGGATTTTAGATCATTTATCACAATCTACCTATAAAAATTTCAGGCTACTTCACATATATTTTAAGAAAGTTACAATAGTGTATTTGCAATTCATCCTTCCCATTTTTATATTATTGTTGTAAACTTTTACATATTTTATAACTTCCCTAATACACTATTACTATTTTTGTTAGAGCTATAAAATGTAAAAGAAATTTCTTTTATATTTGTATTTATTTTTTCCATTTCTAGGGCTTTTCATTTCTTTGTGTAGATTCAAATTTCTATCTGGTGTCATATTCATTCCTTCTGCCTGAAAAACTTCTTTTAACATTTCTTATAGTGAAGATAAGTTGATAATTAATTGTTCCAGCTTTTGTTAGTTAGATTCTTTATTTCACCATCATATTAGAAAGATTTTTACTGGCTATAATATTCTGGGTAGTTTTTTGTATTTCAGTATTATAAAGATGCTATTCAATTGTGTTCTGAATTGTAGTTTATGACAAAAAATCAGCTGCAATTCTAATATTTATTCTTCTAATATAATGTCCTTTCCCCCTAGTTATATTTAAGACTTCCTCTTTATCATTGGTTCTCAACAGTTTAAGTATAAAATGTCTAGATTTTCTGTTTTGCTTTGTTATGTGTTTACCCTGCTTGGAGCTCTCTGTTTCTTGGATCTGTAGTTTGGTGTCCTTCAATACTTTTAGAAAAGTCTTAACCATTTCCTTTTCAAATATTTCTTCTGTCCATTCTCCCTTTTTGACAGGTATGTTAAACTGCTTGATATAATTTCATAACTCCTAGATATTGTTTTCCCCTCATTTGTTTTTCTCCTTTTGCTCAGTTTGAACAATTTCTATTAACTTATTTTCAATTTCACTGATTCCTTCCTCAACTGTGTCAAGTCTACTGATGTAACCCTTAAGGAATACTTCATTTCTCATAGAATGTTTTTAATTTCTAACATTTACATTTGACTCTTATAGTTTCCATTTCTCTGTTGAAATGCCTAAAATTTTATTACATGTTGTCTACATTTTTCACTTCGTCCTTTAGCATAGTAATCATAATTATTTTAAAGTCCCTGTCCCACTTCTGGATTATTTCTGAGTCTGGTTCTGTGGATTGTTTTGTCCTTTTATTATGGATTATTATACTTTTGCTTTTCTGAATACATTATAACTTCATTAAATTGTAAATATGCACAGTAGGAAAGTAGATTGGGATAAATAGTATTTATACCTAGAATGGTTATGCCTCTTCTTCTGTCAGGCTGTTAGTGTTCAGTTGAGTCAATCTAATTAAGAGTTGAACTGGGTTGGGGTTGTTGCTATGGTTACCTTCAGTGCATCTTAGGTTTTTAATTTGTTTAGTGTTGCCTTGTGCTTAGGTGGGGACTGAAATGCCACAGGGCTTTACCTGGTGTTCCTGTTCCATTCACCCTCAGATTTCAGTTATCTCTGCATAACTCCACTTCATAGAGGGTGGTTCCAGGCTTTGACACTTCCCTATAGTAGACTGGATTGCTTGTTAATCACCCAGTATTTTTTTAGATATATGGCAAGGGCAGAGAAGTGTTCTTTGTTGTTCTTACATAGCTTCAGTCTTAGGCATGCCCTATGTGCCTGGGCTTTGGGCACTGGGCTTTCTCAGTGATCCTGACCTTCTTCCTAATGGCAGCTGTATTCGTGAGGGTTCTCCAAAAATAGAGAACCCATTGTGTGTGCGTGAGTGTGTGTGTGTGTGTGTGTGTGTGTGTGTAGTTGGTCTGCATGATTATGGAGGCTGAGAGCCCCATAATATGCTGTCTGTGAGCTGGAGAACTAGGAAAGCTGATGGTGTAATCCAATCTAAGTTTGAAGGCCTGAGAACCAGGGAAGCTGATGATGTAACTCTCCCAGTTTGAGGCCAAAGGTCCAAGAACCAGGTGTGTGTGTGGGAGGTTGTTGGTGTAAGTCCAAGAGTTCAAAGGCTTGAGAACCAGGAGCTCCATTGTTTGAAGGCAGGAGAAGATGGATGTCCCAGCTCGAGAGGAGAGAATGAATTGCCCTTTGCTGCCTTTTTGTTCTATTTGGAACTTCAACAGACTAGACGATGTCTGCCCCTATTGGTGATGGCAGAACTTCTTTACTCGTTTGAATCTACGGATTCAAATGCTAATCTCTTCTGGAAACACCTTCACAAACACACACAGAAATAATATCTTACTAGCTATCTAGGCATCCTTTAGTTCAATCAAGCTGACACATAAAATTAACTATCACAGAATCCAGGGTGTTCTTTGTATATGTGTAATAGAAGTCTTGTGCAGAACAGGTTTTTTTTTTTGCCTCTTTTTAGAAGTCAGTTGTCAGTCCAATTTTCACTCTTTTATAATATGTCTTTTTTTCTGCTTTAAGTTTATTGGTTTAATTGAATTAGTGGATTGATATATTTTATCTGTTCTGGAAAATTCTCATGTTTTCAGATATTGTCTTAACTCCTGTTTTTCTATTCCTTTTTTCTTTTTGCCTTATCTCTGTGAACCTATGTTTTTCCATTCTTTCAGAATGATGATTAATATGTTAAATCTTCTCACTCTTTTCTCTATATTTCTTACCCTCTCTCCACATTGCCTATCTATTTGGTATCTCTGGGCTGCATTCCGTATTTTCTTCTATCCTGATTCTCTCTTCAGCACTGTTTAATCCATTAAATCTGTCCACTGAGTTGTTAATTTCAGTTATATAAGTTCAGGTTTGTGAAGGAGGAAACACCAAAACTGGATTGGATGTACAAAAAATTTAATGGAGGCAGAAGCATGTAGAGGGAAGGATAGATTTCAGACCATAATGGTTTGACACCTGTGAAGGGAGAGTGGAAAGAAAGAAGGTTTGGTTAGGAAGAGTCGTGGGCAGTGCAGTTCCAGGAAAGATTCAGAGAGCCAAGAGAGAGTCTTTGAGCCAAGCCACCAGTTAGAGGAAGCTCATGTCTTTCCAGGAGGAGCCTGAGTACCCTCACCATGCCAATGTGCTAGCTCACTGGCTGGGAGCAGTCTGCAGGTGGCATGCCTTTGGCACAAACATGGTGGTGGGTCCAGAAGGACAGAAGCAGGGCCATTTACCAATCATACTCTCCAGAGCTGGTGACATGGGTGGCATGTTTTATGGCTGCCACATTCCGTTTGTCAATTCTAATAGTTTTATTTGGTATGTTTGCAAATGTATCATGTCAGTTTTATATTTTCCTATTTTCTGAAGACATTTTAAAGACTGCTTAAAAATTGTCTTAGATATTGTAAGTATACTTATTTTACACCCATATCTGATCATTATAGTATCTCAAGTTTTTGCTTATTTGTTTCTGTTACTTTTTGTTTGGTTTTCTCATTGCATCATGTTTCTTTTGGTGTTTGGTTTTCTCTGAGTGCTAGACATTACATTTAAAAAGAAGTGTTCAAGGGAAAATTTAAGGCCCAAAATATTAGTATCATCCTCCAGGTACAATTCCTTTTTAATGCCAAATCTTGAGACACTATTGGAGAAAGACCGCTTTAATCAAGTCTAAGGACACTCACACTACCAGTCTACAGGAAGGATGATTTACATCTGAGAATTTATCACTTTAGGATCCTTTTTTTCTTTTTTCTTTTTTTTGGGATGGAGTCTCACTCTGTCACCCAGGCTGGAGTGCAATGGCACAATCTCGGCTCACTGCAACCTCTGCCTCCCATGTTCAAGCAATTCTTCTGCCACAGCCTCCCAAGTAGCTGGGATTACAGACATGCACCACCACGCCTGGCTAATTTTTTGTATTTTTAGTAGAGACGTGGTCTTACCAGGTTGGCCAGCCTGGTCTCAAACTCCTGACTTCAGGTGATCCGCCTGCCTCAGCCTCCCAAAGTTCTGGGATTACAGGCGGGCTCCTTTCTAAAAGTAAGGCGAGGATGACATTCTTCACTTTGGATGGATTGTGGATTTTACTTTTATCCTGATTATCCTATAAAATTACCAAATCCCAAATTGTGGCTCCATCTTTAAGCTGTTTCTACTTGACCTGAAAATACCCTAAGGGCAAAAGTGGCTGCTTATCAGGCTTAGGTTTCTGGGTTTTCAATTTTCTTAGGTTTGTTCTAGAAATTCCTCACTCTTTTGTTAGGTCTTTGAAGCTTACTATTTAATTTATTTTATCCAGAGTGTTAACATTATTCTCTATGGGAGTATTGTACTAATTATCTAGCCACCTTTACCATAAGATCTATGTTCCATTGATTTTTTTTTTTTTTTTGAGATGGAGTCTCGTTCTGTCACCCAGACTGGAGTGCAGCAGCACGATCTTGGCTCACTGCAACCTCCGCCTCCTGGGCTCAAGTGATTCTCCTGCCTCAGCCTCCTGAGTAGCTGGGACTACAGGCTTGCACCACCACACCCGGCTCATTATTTTTTCTTTTTTGGTATTTTTAGTAGAGATGGGGTTTCACCATGTTGGCCAGGATGGTCTCGATCTCCTGACCTCATTATCCACCCTCCTTGGCCTCCCAAAGTGCTGGGATTACAGGCGTGAGCCAATGCACCCGGCCTCCATTGATCTTATTGATTCTGAGTAACCCTAACTGAGCATCAGAGACAATCTTGATCTAGGTCTTCATGTGCAAGCTGTTATAGAGGGACCTACAGAGAATATTAGTTATCTCCTTTAACACAAGAAAGAATCAGTGGCTTTCCAAGAAGAAGGCCTTCTCTGCCTACTGGAGACAAATTTTGATAATTCAGGCTTAAAACCTGGAGTTGATCCTTCTGCAGAACTGGAAGTCAGAAAGTCTTTCTTTCCTTTTTATTTCTTGAGATTGAGATGTCTATCCTTGGTGTGTGTGTGTGTGTGTGTGTGCGCGCGCGCACGTTTGCATGCATGCAAGTGTGTGTGTTTAATTTTTGAGCAGTGGTATGCAATTCTCTTCAGTGTTCATCATGATACATTCTGCTAGCATGTAGTAGAAAAGATAGTCTAGGAGTCTTCAGACGTATGAAGTCAAGAGGATATGCACAATATAACACCATTTTGAAAGTAAAAAAAGTCCAAGTGCCTAAACTTAGTGGTATGTAAAGAGAATTATGAGGAGGGAAAGAAAATATAAAAATATGAGAAGAATTAGGCAAAGAATGTGATTGAAAGTATAAAAATAAGACTCAAACCAATAATTATAACTAAACATCCAGTATATGGAGTGATAACTTCTTAAAGAAATAAAGAGGAGGGGACAAATTTGTAAGCATCTCAATAAAGTATTTTATTGGCAGAATAAGCAAGAACCGAATCTAGTTGCCTAAGAAGAGGCCAACATTGCCACTGTTAGATTAAGAATCATGGGGGAAAAATGAGTGTTGAGCCATAGTCTAGCTATAGCTTCCCCAAGAATTTACAGAAATTCTCTTCTGGGGTACTGAATCCATAGGTGAATCTCTGGAAGGAGCACTGGCATTTGCTAGGGCTACTGTGCGGGCTGGAACTGAATATTGATTGTGTAAGAATATGTAAGAATGTACTCTGCCTGAAATCTTTTGCTCTAAAAGTTCATCATGGCCAACACTAGCTTTCAGAAATAAGCCAGATACAAGTCTTTTTGTGTAGAACAAAAGCTGATCCAGGTACCAGGGCATAGAAATATGAACAGAAACATTATCAGCACAGGACCCATACATTTTTATCTTCCAAGAGATAAAAGGAGAGGAGAGGAAGGGGGACAATTGAAATGGATATATATTTACACAATTTTTGAGGTATTGGACAGTATTTTTACTGTGTCTGGTTAAAATTAGCAAGCAAGTTTTTCCAACAGGAGGCAGTGCTGTTTTATGCTGTAATTTAAGTATAAAATTGATTTGTGCTATCAAATCACTCAAATTACATAAGTGAGGTCACAAGGCCTAACCTTGAGCTATGGGGGAAAAAGCAACCTTTAAGCCACAGCCTAAAAAAAGACTTTACCGAAGGGAATGGTGAATGCCAACTGTTCTGTAGCAGGAGAAAAGGATAAAATAAGCTGAAAGGGGTGGAAATACAGTAATTTGGGGGACCCTGTGCTTGAAGGGAAGTAAATTTCCTTAGGGCAGGAGAATATCATTAATACAATGACATGCTTGCGCGAAAGAATTTTCTGTTATCTATGGTAGAAAATTTAGAAAATGGTCAAAAGTCTGGTAGCTAGAAATCTAATATTAAAAAGGTACAGGAAAGTCAACTTTACAATTCATTTTCCAAACATTTGTTGATCCCACTTTCTATGCCAGGCACTGGGTTGTATAACGGGGATACAAAGATGAAAAAAAAAAGATCATAATCAAAGTATCTGAAAAAGAAAACCACTAAAGAAATGTTATTGAATGTAAAGGAAAACTGTAACTTCTTTAATAATACATTATTCAAATTCAAAGATGATAGCACATTTTGAGATTCAGATTGGTAATGTATCTTTGATTACACTTTGCAAATGTATTTGACAATTAACCATATACTACTACTTTTTATTACTGAGGTAGGAGGCAGGACTAGACTCTGGAGGTGGGGATTGGGCTCCAGACCACACTGAAGACAAGCTGAAAGGGAAGAGGTGAAAGAGTCTCTCCATAAAACACACTCACCAGTGCCACGTCAGGTTACCATTGCTAAGGCAACAGCTGGAAGTTTTGGCTCCTTTCCATAGCAACAATCCCACGACCTGGAAGTTACGACCTTTTTTCTAGAAATTTTGGCATAATCCACCCCTAAATTTGCATATAGTTGAAAGTGGGTATAAATGTGATTGCAGTACTGCTTCCGAGCTGCTACTCTGGGCACACTGCCTATTGGGAGCCCTGCTCCACAAAGCAGCTTTGTTGCTGCTGTACATTAAACCACTTTGATAAAAGTTGTTGTCTAACACCAGCAGCAGCACTGGCTCGTGCGCAAGTGACCGTGGACGACCACGCTGTGCCCTCCCTGCTGTCCCCTCTGGTCATCAAAGGATCCTTCCCTGGCTCGAGGCCCCTGCCTGGGCCCAGAAAGGCTGCTGAGGAAGCGAAAGGCAGGAATTAAACATGGGTTTTTCTTGAGCCACGCTTCAAAAAGTCCAACTCCCTGCAGCGGTCACCAAGGCCCTCAGGACCCCTCACCATAGCCTGCCCGAAGCCCGCAACCCACCTGGAACCTCCTGCAGTCCTTAGCCTGAGCTGGCAATTGTGCGCATGCTTGCAGACCCCTTCTTCCCAACGTGTGCTGGGGAAGACCCTAGGGCGCCTGCGCACACTCCCTCCTCCTCTTCCTCTTGAATAGAGCTAATGTGAATACCTGCTTCCCATGTCTCCATGACCTCACTAGAGGCTGGCTGATTTAAAGACAATGAGTTCCCTTAAAGGGTTCTCATTATGCTCAGAAATAGAAATAAGGAAATCCTATTGTTTGATTCGCACAACCAGTCAGCGGCAAATTTTCTAATCACGTGGCATTCGAGAACCTTCCTGGACAGGCCCATCCCGAAAAAACCGGATGCTTTCGCCTCACAGCATAGGATGCTCAGGTGTCTGCAGTCTCAGCCTATGCACCTGGTGCTCTGCCTCTTCTCCATAACCAGAGAGGAGCTCGAGATACAGACTGTGTGTGTGTGTGTGTGTGTGTGTGTGTGTGATAAAAATATGAATAACCATATAGAAGATATTATATGTTATTTTCCCAATATCCTACTCTTTTTCTTTTTCTTTTCTTTTCTTTTTTTTTTTTTGAGACAGATTCTTGCTTTGTCACCCAGCCTGGAGTGCAGTGGCACGATCTCGGCTCACTGCATCAAGTGATTCTCCCGCCTCAGCCTCCTGAATGGCTGGGATTACAGGCGAGTGCTATCACGCCTGGCTAATTTTTGTATTTTTAGTAGAGATGGGGTTTCGCCATGTTGGTCAGGCTGGTCTCGAACTCCTGACCTCAGGTGATCCACCTGCCTCGACCTCCCAAAGTGTTGGGATTACAGGCGTGAGCCACCTCGCCCGGCCCTTACTTCATTTTGGAATGCCATGAACCATAATATGTTCTAGAAAAGTGGAAACTGTTATTTTCCACTTTGTAACAGTACAGTTACATTCATCTTTTTGGTAGTAAATCATTGTACTATAAACTGATGTCTCAGAAGTAACATTCACGTGTGTAACCCCCACATTTCTTTTATTGATGCTAAAAGTCTACAAGGATCACAAAGGAACCTATCTACCCATGTATAAGAACTAGAAAATTATCAAGGAGGGGCAGTCTAAATTTTTTAAAAAGCTCGAAAATAATGGCACTTGTTTTCCCTGTGCCATGCGTTTGTCCCCACTACAAGCTACTTGACATTAGACTACCAAAACTACCAAAGGAAGTTATTGTTAGACGAATTTATTTTAAAACTCTGCATACACATCATTTAAAATGAGTTAAAAACTTAAAAAGTGAACTCTGAGCTTTGGCAAAGTTGCAAAGGTGATGCAGCAAAGTTTTCTGTGTCATTAAAACTATGCCTGAAACTACAGGATTCCTTCCGTTGGAATGAAGTTTTCCCTTCAGCTCCAAGAATTCAGCCTCCCTTAACCAAGTTGCCTTCAGTTTTAGGACCTGCGCTGTCAGTCAGGCCCGACCTCCGCAACGGCCTCCGACCACCGCCTGTGGAGCAGCACCCAGAACAGGAGCGCGCCCCCCAGCAGCAGGGCCAGGCCCAGCCTCCAGCTCCTGGGGGACTTCAGCCACTTCCACAGCCGGGCCGACAGCCAGGCGCCCCATGGCCTCCTCTGCACCCTGGCTGCCACGCGCTCCGCCACCCGCCGGAGCCGCTCCTCAGGGCCTGCCCAGCGCAGCACCTGCGCCAGCTCATACACCTCGTTGGAGTAATGGGCGCCCTTGTGCTCCAGCACCAAGCCCTCGACCATCCCCAGCAGCTGCTCCACCTGGGCTTCCTGCTCCCGGCCGGTGGCCCGGTTATCAAAGGCACAGACCCGGCCCCCGCACTCGGCCACCAGCTCGCGCAAGGCCCGGTTCTCTGTGTTGCTCACGTAATCGTGCAGGGAGCCCCCGGCCAGGTCCTCCTTCCTGGTGAAGACGATGACCATCCATTTTAGGACGTCCTCCCCGAACATGTCCCTCACCTGCCTCACCGCCTGCTGGTCCTGGGCGGTGAACCGACCCAACTGGGTCACCAGGAGCAGCGCGTGGGGTCCGGGGGCCGAGAGCAGGTAGCAGTGACCTCTCTCCTCACAGCCAGGATCTGTCTTGGACACTTGGGAGCTGAAAATGTCCGGAGTGTCCACGACTTCCACGTGGCACTTGTCCCACCTGCGGCTGCCCGTGGTGCAGGCCCTGGTCACAGACGTGGCCCCCAGCCTGGAGAAGAACCGTCTCTGGCCCAGGATGCTGTTCCCAGTGGCGCTCTTCCCGGCCCCTGTTCTCCCAACAAGGATGAGCCTCCGCGTGGACTCCTGCCGGGACTGAGCGTTCTCTTCTAAACCTGTGAGACCAAGTGTTATAATCTTACTTAAGTTTAACCAACTTCCCCTTGGGAACTGGAATCTTCTTGCCTTTAGCATAAGTGGTTAAGAATAGAGATTTGAACGCCTGGGCGTTCATTTCCACCTTTTCCTTTTGTATTTGGGTTGTCTGCCTGCACCAGTAGATGCTCCAACTACAGTTGATTATCATAGAAATGCTTCTTTATCAGTCCAGCCCAATAGTTCATCTGACATTTCTGGTCATCCACACACATGCAGACATATTTATTTCATATTTGAAAATTTCGATGGACTCTGAAATATTCTCCCAGAGACCATCCCCAGAGACAGGCAGTGGGGGCAATACTGCCTGGTAGTGAAGAGCTGTGTGGAGTCCCAGATACCCTGGTTTGAATCACAGCCCCACCACGTGCTGGTTGTGTAACCTTGGGGAAGCTGCATAATCTAAGTATTAAGCCTCTTCGGCAAAAGTGGGAGCGATAATAGGGGCCTGTTTCTCAGAGGCCTGTTGAGGGGGTGAAATAAGCCCTCTTTCCTTCTTCTCTCTTTCTCTCCCTCTTTCTCTCCTTCCTCTCTTATCTCTCTCTTAAACTGGCTGCCTAAAAAGAATATATGTTTTAACCCTCTATCCTTGTTCTCTAAACATTCTACCTCACAAATCATGTTCACTGTAGTGCATGATTTAATCCCCTCTGCACTTCTTCTGCGGTGATCGGAGTAGGTTTATTATCCTTATTTTATACTGTGGAACCAAGGGAGCAGGCTAGTCACAGAACTTAACTTCTCACAGCAGAGATCCAGCTAAAATGCAGATCTCAGGGCTGGTGCTGTTTCATCCCAGAGTTGAGACACCTCTGGAACTTATCTCTGTTCAGTCTTGAGGAAGCCCCATTCTCCTTATTACCCTAAGTTCAAGCCTAGGGGGGCAAGTATGAGGTGTAGAGATATGGTCTTACCATAGACATTTTCTTCATCTGTCGCCATCTTCCTTCCTCCCATGCTTACCTGGAAGAGTCCCAAACACAATTTGTTAATTCATTTATTTATTCCTCAAATAGGCATAACCACAAATAGGCATAACCACCTACAGGGTGTCAGGCAAAGTCCAAAGAGCTGGTGACAGCACAGTGAAAAGACATGGTTTTTGCTTGCAAGGATCTAAAAATCTAGGTGTATGTCTTGGCAGAAGGGCACGTGGCTAGAGAGAAGACAGGTAAATTTCGTCAAATATAATACATTGTGCTAATCCTTCTTTAAGTAAGGATTATATCGGAACTTGAGAGAATGGCCTTGGAAGGGCCAACACCCTGCCCTTGAGTTGGTAGGATGCTGTGAGAACATTGGGTGAGGCTAGATTTGTCTTTTCAGGAACTCCAAAAGCAAAAAGCAGAGGGTCGGTTATAACATTTACTCAATGCCAATGGGCTTTAGGTATTACTTTTCCCTGGGTGATTCTATATCACTGACATAAGCTAGAGATATCAGGGGATTCAGCAGCTGGGGGAAGATTAGGTAAACCCTCAGAACCAGAAAATGTGCCCAGTGACTTAGGCACCCACCTTCAAGTGGCTGACCTGGGAAGAAAGAAGAAAATTGGGATTTTTCTTTTGGAAATTGAACAGATCTCCCAAGTAGATCTGGAGGGCCCCTAACTCTGTTTTCTTAAAATCAAATAATTTGGTTTGTTTAGAGATGTCTAAATACGATATCTGTGCTGGAGAGACTTGAACACTTCCCTTCAACTCCTGAAGTTGCTTCCCCTCCAAATGTGATTATGCTGAAATCTAACATTGTGTAATACAGCTAAACCCTCTGTGATCCAGTTTGCCTAATCACACAAGCTCCTGAACACAAATTCACTTCTCCCTGCATCTATGTCTCCAGCCTCATTCCCAGACAATACCCCACTCGGTCAGCTACTTCACAATCAGCAGATTTCAGGGCCTTTCCAACCCACTCGGCTTCCCCTCCTAGGACTATTGATCCTCCCCGACCATCTGTCTGTGCCTCACCATCCATGTCAAACTTGTTGTGTCTTGCACCCTGGTCACTTGGATACCTGTGTTCTCTCCCATTGGCACCACACATGAAGGAGGGGCAGAGAGAGAGGCTGGCTGAGTAACTTGTCTTTGATTGAAGGACTTGGAGAACAGATTTGCCTCATATTAAATCTAGAGCTGTTTCTGTTTCTGCAGGAACTCTACTGGCCCTCCCCAAAGCCTTCAATAAAATTCACTCCATGGGCCTTATGTGATTAATTATTTTGCATGTAGGAATGAACAGATGATCATAAATGACATCAAAGCAGAAATGAAGAAACAGTTGCAAGATTCAGAGAAAAGAATTTAGATGAAGCAAAATGTCCTTGTCAACCAAGAAAATGAGAATTTCTTTTTCCAGTGCTGCAGAATTCTGGATAGGCCTTTGGAATTTTCCATAGTTTAGAAGAGGGGTTGAAATGATTTTAAATAGTTTTTTTTTTTAAAGGAAAGTAAGACCCAGCTGAACTCTGAGGTGACAAATGGCCCTTAATCATTGAGGAATGTACACTTATAGAATCCTGTATTCCTAACACTTTAAGAGACCGCAAAGTTTATTGAGTTCTTCACCGCTCAAATGTGCTGCTTCTCAGAATTACTTGAATGTTCTTTAAAAATGTACATCTCTTGGATCCATCCTGAGATTCTGATTCATGAATTAAATGTTTCTGATGTCCACAGCTCAGAACTTGGACATCAGTCATTTTTGCAACCCCCTTTATTGTACAGATGGGAATTTGAGGTGTCCCCGTGGCTGGAGCAGGAGAAGCTTGAATTAAGGGAGCAGATGTTTAAGGGGCCATGCAGGGAAAGGGGTTGAAGACCAAGATATTAATCTCAGATGTCTCCTCAGGGGCCCCTTCTGTGGACAGTGAGGAGGAGAGTTCAAATGTACCCAGTCTTGTCACGTCGTAACTCACTCCGAGGTTAGATGGCTTATGGGGCCATAGAAATATCTTTTGCCTTTGCTCAATAGGGAGCTTGAGGAATGTTTAATGCCTTTCAAACTGTATTTTATTCCTGGAGGTGGTTCCAGCACACTCTTTTCTTACTTTGTTAAGGGAATGTGGGAGGAGACAGATTTCACTCCCCACCAAGAACGTGTGTGCTCCAGAGCTGGAGAAGATGATCCTAAAATTTCCTCTGAACTTTGCCTACTTAAAAACCTGGAAGTATGTCCTTGATTGTTCCAGATCTTGCTCGCCTGCATGATGCCTTGTAGAATGCAAGTGTTCAGGCAGTAAACACTCTAGGAATCATGTTCTTTCTGGTTCTCAGAGCACCCCCAGCCCCCGCCACTCCCAGGCTCAGGCTCACCTTTCCTGGTGACAGGCTCTGAAGTTGGCCACAAGAAGCCCCAACCTGCTGCTTTCCCTTCGGCTGTGAGTGCAGAAGGCTGTTTCCTCTCGGCACACGGAGGAAATCACTCAGACTTCAGAAATCAGGAAGCTCAGGGTGGGCCCCATGGTTATGGTTTAAAGAGACAGAAACATTTCCCATTGAGCTGTGGGTTGGCAATACTTCTCCTACCGACTCTACTTTCTGCTGTGACTGAGGTTATGTGTCTCCAGCAGGGCCTCATGATGTCAAATATCTTGCCATGCTCTAAGAAGGGAGGGATGTTGTAGTCTCTGAGGCCTGACTGTACTTCTAAAATTGATTACTGAGCTAATCTTCAGTTGCCTTTGCCCTATAGGGACATTTCCCCATATAAAATAGGCCCAGAGAGTCTCCTGCCCCGGAACAAATAACGTAATAGCTGTTCTCATCATCTGTCCATTAATTAGACATTCATGTGGCCAGTGCCAGCCCCAGATCCAGTCTGCCAGAAAAACCTGAAGGCAAAGTCTTATCATTCTCTGAGAGAGGAGGGCTTTCCCAGCTATTGAAGGACTTGAGGGTGAACTGGTATGTTGAGGATGAACACCTTCGCACTATCTTCAATTTAGCCTTATTAGGAGGCTTTAGTCTAGTCGTCTATGTTGGTATCACCAGTTCTAGTTATTCTATCTTCTCTCAAGAGCATCATGAGGTCAGCAAAAAAGCGAATCACTGGGTGGTAAGAAGGCTACAGAGGAGCAGGCTGCATATCTGGTTAGGTCATTAACCAGCTATAGGACCTCACCTAACTCATTTAAACTTTCTGGAGTTGGCTTTCTGGAGTATATGGGGAAGACAATAACCCGAGTCTTACCCTACTGGATAGGATCTGCTTTTTAACCTCTTTCATGCCAGACCACTTTTTTTCTGGTAGGGAAGAGACCCAGCTTTTACTGTTTCCCATCTTTTTGGGGGCACAGAGTCTCCTGGATATCTGACATGTCCACTGTTTCCATTCATCATTGCTGAAACAGGGAGCCTGTCATTCTCCCAGTAGACCGGCAGGGCTGGGGCTATTGTGAGGCAGGTGGGGCATCTAGAGCACACAGCTTAAGGAGGCACTCACTCTCAGGTCACCCAAGTGCAGATCTTGTAGGTGGGTGACCCTGGGAGTGAGTGTTTTCTTAAGAGTGAGGTGCCTAGGGCTTCTCACTAGCCTCATCCTAGCCCAAGCCACATAGATCAGCTTTGAATAAGTCTTTGATACTTGACGTGTACCTTTCATAAAGACGCTTTCAGAGCCTCTTCAACAGCTCCGGGCCATTTATTGTTTCCATGCATGTGTATGATGTCTTACTTCAGCCACTCATAACTCTCTGTCAGAGGGTTTATCTGACTACAAAAGTATATGTAGGTAATGCATGCAGCAGCCTGAAGTTGTCAGAGCTGATATCCTAGGAGCAGATTTCAATCAATGTCAGTTAGGACTTATGGATAAACACCACAACTTATCAAGTTGTCCACCACGTGAGACAACTCTGTGATGTACTGCATACAAATTGCTGAGTCCCCAGCAGGACTGAGACCCAGTTGTCTGCAGTGGGAACATCCTCATCACCGTATACAGTGGTAATGTGCTCATTAATGCAACTTGCATTGGCTACTATCCCTTCCCGTCCCACATTTCCACTTTCCTACTGGTGCTTTCTGGGATCTTCTTCCTATTGAAAAGTAACCGTTTCTGTCTTTATTTTCCTCTACATTTCTATTAGCTCTTGATTATGTCTCACTGTCTCTGGGCTTTGTTGCCTATTATTATTCATTGATACTTACTATCAGTTGTGGAAACCCAGGTGAAGCTCAGACCCTGACTACACTTGAGTCTCAGAATTATATCTAGAACTCCGGCTTCCTTTTGTACCCTGTATTAATGCTTCCTTCCTCTCTTTCCAGTCTTTGCATGTTCATTGTTTTCTTCCGTATCCTTATAAATGCAGTGAAGAAAATGTATTAGTCCGTCCTCACGCTGCTTTAAAGAAATACCCGAGATTGGGTAATTTATAAAGAAAAGAGATTTAATTGGCTCACGGTTCCACAGCCTGTACAGGGAGCATGATGCTGGCATCTCCTTGGCTTCTGGGGAGGCCTCAGGAAACTTACAATCATGGCAGAAGCCAGAGGGGAAGCACACACATCTCATGGCTGGAGTAGGAGCAAGAGAGAATGGGAAGGAGCTGCATACTTAAAAATTTTTATTTAATGTACTTTACATTCTGGGATACATGTGCAGAACATGCAGGTTTGTTACATAGGTATACATTTGCCATGGTGGTCTGCTGCACCCATCAACCTGTCATCTAGGTTTTAAGGTATTTGTCCCAATGCTCTCCCTCCACTTGCCTCCCCAACCCCCGACAGGCCCCCATGTGTGATGTTCCCCTCCCTGTGTCCATGTGTTCTCATTGTTCAACTCCCACTTATGAGTGAGAACATGCAGTGTTCGGTTTTCTGTTCCTGTGTTAGTTTCCTGAGAATGATGGTTTCCAGCTTCATCCATGTCCCTACAAAGGACATGAACTCATACTTTTTATGGCTGCATAGTATTCCATGGTATATATGGGCCACACTTTCTTTATCCAGTCTATCACTGATGGGCATTTGGGTTGGTTCCAAGTCTTTGCTATTGTGAACAGTGCTGTAATAAACATATATATGCATGTGTCTTTATAGCAGAATAATTTATAATCCTTTGGGTATATACCCAGTAATGGGATTGCTGGGTCAAATGGTATTTCTGGTTTTAGATCCTTGAGGAATTGCCACACTGTTTTCCACAATGGTTGAACTACTTTACACTCCCACCAACAGTGTAAAAGCATTCCTATTTCTCCACATCCTCTCCAGCATCTGTTTCCTGACTTTTTAATGATCGCCACTCTAACTGGTGTGAGACGGTATCTCATTGTGGTTTTGATTTGCATTTCTCTAATGACCAGTGATGATGAGGTTTTTTTTATATGTTTGTCACATAAATGTCTTCTTTTGAGAAGTGTCTGTTCATATCCTTCACCCAATTTTTGATAGGGTTGTTTGTTTTTTTTCTTGTAAATTTGTTTAAGTTCTTTGTAGATTCTGGATATTAGACTTTGTCACATGGATAGATTGCAAAAATTTTCTCCCATTCTGTAGGTTGTCTGTTCACTCTGATAATAGTTTCTTTTGCTGTGCAGAAGCTCTTTAGTTTAATTAGATCCCATTTGTCAGTTTTGGCTTTTCTTGCAATTGCTTTTGGTGTTTTAGTCATGAAGTCTTTACCATGCCTATGTCTTGAAGGGTATTGCCTAGGTTTTCTTCTACGGTTTTTATGGCTTTAGGTTTGACATTTAAGTCTTTAATACATCTTGAGTTATTTTTTGTATAAGGCGTAAGGTGTGAGGAAGGGGTCCAGTTTCAGTTTTCTGCATATGGCTAGCCAGTTTTCCCAGCGCCACTTGTTAAATAGGGAATCCTTTCCCCATTGCTTGTTTTGGTCAGATTTGTTGGAGATCAGATGGTTGTATATGTGTAGTGTTATTTCTGAGGCCTCTGTTTTGTTCCATTGGTCTATATATCTGTTTTGGTACCAGTACCATGCTGTTTTGGTTACTGTAGCCTTGTAGTATAGTTTGAAGTCAGGTAGTGTGATGCCACCAGCTTTGATCTTGATCTTTTTGCTTAGGATTGTCTTGGCTATACAGTCTCTTCTTTGGTTCTATATGAAATTTAAAGTAGTTTTTTCTTGTTCTGTGAAGAAAGTCAATGGTAGCTTGATGGGAATAGCATTGAATCTATGAATTACTTTGGGCAGTATGGCCATTTTCACAATGTTGATTCTTCCTATCCATGAGCATGGAATGTTTTTCCATTTGTTTATGTCCTCTCTTATTTCCTTGAGCAGTGGTTTATAGTTCTCCTTGAAGAGGTTGTTCACATCCCTTGTAAGCTGTATTCCTAGGTATTTAATATACTTTGTAGCAATTGTGAATGGGAATTCACTCATGATTTGGCTCTCTGTTTGTCTGTTATTGGTGTATAGGAATGCTTGTGATTTTTGCACATTGATTTTGTATCCTGAGACTTTGCTGAAGTTACTCATGAGCTTAAGGAGTTTTAGGGCTGAGACAATGGGGTTTTCTAAATATACAATCATGTCACCTGCAAACAGAGACAATTTGACTTCCTCACTTCCTATTTGTATATCCTTTGTTTCTTTCTCTTGCCTGATTGCCTTGGCCAGAACTTCCAATACTATGTTGAATAGGAGTGGTGAGAGAGGGCATCTTTGTCTTGTGCCAGTTTTCAAAGGGAGTGCTTCCAGCTTTTGCACAGTCAGTATGATATTGGCTATAGGTTTGTCATAAATAGCTCATTATTATTATTATTTTGTTTATTGTTATTATACTTTAAGTTTTAGGGTACATGTGCACAATGTGCAGGTTAGTTACATATGTATACATGTGCCATGCTGGTGCGCTGCACCCACTAACTCGTCATCTAGCATTAGGTATATCTCCCAACGCTATCTCTCCCCACTCCCCCCACCCCACAACAGTCCCCAGAGTGTGATGTTCCCCTTACTGTGTCCATGTGTTCTCATTGTTCAATTCCCACCTATGAGTGAGAATATGCGGTGTTTGGTTTTTTGTTCTTGCGATAGTTTACTGAGAATGATGATTTCCAATTTCATCCATGTCCCTACAAAGGACATGAACTCATCATTTTTTATGGCTGCATAGTATTCCATGGTGTATATGTGCCACATTTTCTTAATCCAGTCTATTGTTGTTGGACATTTGGGTTGGTTCCAAGTCTTTGCTATTGTGAATAATGCCGCAATAAACATACGTGTACATGTGTCTTTATAGCAGCATGATTTATAGTCCTTTGGGTATATACCCAGTAATGGGATGGCTGGGTCAAATGGTATTTCTAGTTCTAGATCCCTGAGGAATCACCACACTGACTTCCACAATGGTTGAACTAGTTTACAGTCCCACCAACAGTGTAAAAGTGTTCCTATTTCTCCACATCCTCTCCAGCACCTGTTGTTTCCTGACTTTTTAATGATCGCCATTGTAACTGGTGTGAGATGGTATCTCATTGTGGTTTTGATTTGCATTTCTCTGATGGCCAGTGATGATGAGCATTTTTTCATGTGTTTTTTGGCTGCATAAATGCCTTCTTTTGAGAAGTGTCTGTTCATATCCTTCGCCCACTTTTTGACGGGGTTGTTTGTTTTTTTCTTGTAAATTTGTTTGAGTTCATTGTGGATTCTGGATATTAGCCCTTTGTCAGATGAGTAGGTTGCAAAAATTTTCTCCCATTCTGTAGGTTGCCTGTTCACTCTGATGGTAGTTTCTTTTGCTGTGCAGAAGCTCTTTAGTTTAATTAGATCCCATTTGTCAATTTTGGCTTTTGTTGCCATTGCTTTTGGTGTTTTAGACATGAAGTCCTTGCCCATGCCTATGTCCTGAATGGTAAAGCCTAGGTTTTCTTCTAGGGTTTTTATGGTTTTAGGTCTAATGTTTAAGTCTTTAATCCATCTTGAATTGATTTTTGTATAAGGTGTAAGGAAGGGATCCAGTTTCAGCTTTCTACATATGTCTTGCCAGTTTTCCCAGCACCATTTATTAAATAGGGAATCCTTTCCCCATTGCTTGTTTTTCTCAGGTTTGTCAAAGATCAGATGGTTGTAGATAAGCGGCGTTATTTCTGAGGGCTCTGTTCTGTTCCATTGATCTATATCTCTGTTTTGGTACCGGTACCATGCTGTTTTGGTTACTGTAGCCTTGTAGTATAGTTTGAAGTCAGGTAGTGTGATGCCTCCAGCTTAGTTCTTTTGGCTTAGGATTGACTTGGCAATGCGGGCTCTTTTTTGGTTCCATATGACCTTTGAAGTAGTTTTTTCCAATTCTGTGAAGAAAGTCATTGGTAGCTTGATGGGGATGGCATTGAATCTGTAAATTACCTTGGGCAGTATGGCCATTTTCACGATATTGATTCTTCCTACCCATGAGCATGGAATGTTCTTCCATTTGTTTGTGTCCTCTTTTATTTCATTGAGCAGTGGTTTGTAGTTCTCCTTGAAGAGGTCCTTCACATCCCTTGTAAGTCGGATTCCTAGGTATTTTATTCTCTTGGAAGCAATTGTGAATGGGAGTTCACTCATGATTTGGCTCTCTGTTTGTCTGTTGTTGGTGTATAAGAATGCTTGTGATTTTTGTACATTGATTTTGTATCCTGAGACTTTGCTGAAGTTGCTTATCAGCTTAAGGAGATTTTGGGCTGAGACAATGGGGTTTTCTAGATATACAATCATGTCGTCTGCAAACAGGGACAATTTGACTTCCTCTTTTCCTAATTGAGTACCCTTTATTTCCTTCTCCTGCCTAATTGCCCTGGCCAGAACTTCCAACACTATGTTGAATAGGAGTGGTGAGAGAGGGCATCCCTGTCTTGTGCCAGTTTTCAAAGGGAATGCTTCCAGTTTTTGTCCATTCAGTATGATATTGGCTGTGGGTTTGTCATAGATAGCTCTTATTATTTTGAAATACGTCCCATCAATACGTAATTTATTGAGAGTTTTTAGCATGAAGGTTGTTGAATTTTGTCAAAGGCCTTTTCTGCATCTATTGAGATAACCATGTGGTTTTTGTCTTTGGTTCTGTTTATATGCTGGATTACATTTATTGATTTGCATATATTGAACCAGCCTTGCATCCCAGGGATGAAGCCCACTTGATCATGGTGGAGAAGGTTTTTGATGTGCTGCTGGATTCGGTTTGCCAGTATTTTATTGAGGATTTTTGCATCAAAGTTCATCGAGGATATTGGTCTAAAATTCTCTTTTTTGGTTGTGTCTCTGCCCGGCTTTGGTATCAGGATGATGCTGGCCTCATAAAATGAGTTAGGGAGGATTCCCTCTTTTTCTGTTGATTGGAATAGTTTCAGAAGGAATGGTACCAGTTCCTCCTTGTACCTCTGGTAGAATTCAGCTGTGAATCCATCTGGTCCTGGACTCTTTTTGGTTGGTAAGCTATTGATTATTGCCACAATTTCAGAGCCTGCTATTGGTCTATTCAGAGATTCAACTTCTTCCTGGTTTAGTCTTGGGAGAGTGTATGTGTTGAGGAATTTATCCATTTCTTCTAGATTTTCTAGTTTATTTGCGTAGAGGTGTTTGTAGTATTCTCTGATGGTAGTTTGTGTTTCTGTGGAATCAGTGGTGATATCCCCTTTATCATTTTTTATTGCGTCTATTTGATTCTTCTCTCTTTTTTTATTAGTCTTGATAGCGGTTTATCAATTTTGTTGATCCTTTCAAAAAACCAGCTCCTGGATTCATTAATTTTTTGAAGAGTTTTTTGTGTCTCTATTTCCTTCAGTTCCACTCTGATTTTAGTTATTTCTTGCCTTCTGCTAGCTTTTGAATGTGTTTGCTCTTGCTTCTCTAGTTCTTTTAATTGTGATGTTAGGGTGTCAATTTTGGATCTTTCCTGCTTTCTCTTGTGGGCATTTAGTGCTATAAATTTCCCTCTACACACTGCTTTGAATGCGTCCCAGAGATTCTGGTATGTTGTGTCTTTGTTCTCGTTGGTTTCAAAGAATATCTTTATTTCTGCCTTCATTTCGTTATGTACCCAGTAGTCATTCAGGATCAGGTTGTTCAGTTTCCATGTATTTGAGCAGTTTTGAATGAGATTCTTAATCCTGAGTTCTAGTTTGATTGCACTGTGGTCTGAGAGATAGTTTGTTATAATTTCTGTTCTTTTACATTTGCTGAGGAGAGCTTTACTTCCAAGTATGTGGTCAATTTTGGAATAGGTGTGGTGTGGTGCTGAAAAAAATGTATATTTTGTTGATTTGGGGTGGAGTGTTCTGTAGATGTCTATTAGGTCTGCTTGGTGCAGAGCTGAGTTCAATTCCTGGGTATCCTTGTTGACTTTCTGTCTCATTGAATTGTCTAATGTTGACAGTGGGGTGTTAAAATCTCCCACTATTAATGTGTTGGAGTCTAAGTCTCTTTGTAGGTCACTCAGGAGTTGCTTTATGAATCTGGGTGCTCCTGCATTTGGTGCATATATATTTAGGATAGTTAGCTCTTCTTGTTGAATTGATCCCTTTACCATTATATAATGGCCTTCTTTGTCTCTTTTGATCTTTGTTGGTTTAAAGTCTGTTTTATCAGAGACTAGGATTGCAACCCCTGCCTTTTTTTGTTTTCCGTTTGCTTGGTAGATCTTCCTCCATCCTTTTATTTTGAGCCTATGTGTGTCTCTGCACGTGAGATGGGTTTCCTGAATACAGCACACTGATGGGTCTTGACTCTTTATCCAATTTGCCAGTCTGTGTCTTTTAATTGGAGAATTTAGTCCATTTTCATTTATAGTTAATATTGTTATGTGTGAATTTGATCCTGTCATTATGATGTTAGCTGGTTATTTTGCTCGTTAGTTCATGCAGTTTCTTCCTAGTCTCGATGGTCTTTACATTTTGGCATGAGTTTGCAGTGGCTGGTACCGGTTGTTCCTTTCCATGTCTAGTGCTTCCTTCAGGAGCTCTTTTAGGGCAGGCCTGGTGGTGACAAAATTCGTCAGCATTTGCTTGTCTGTAAAGTATTTTATTTCTCCTTCACTTATGAAGCTTATTTTGGCTGGATATGAAATTCTGGGTTGAAAATTCTTTTCTTTAAGAATGTTGAATATTGGCCCCCACTCTCTTCTGGCTTGTAGAGTTTTTGCTGAGAGATCTGCTGTTAGTCTGATGGGCTTCCCTTTGAGGGTAACCCGACCTTTCTCTCTGGCTGCCCTTAACATTTTTTCCTTCATTTCAACTTTGGTGAATCTGACAATTATGTGTCTTGGAGTTGCTCTTCTCGAGGAGTATCTTTGTGGCGTTCTCTGTATTTCCTGAATCTGAATGTTGGCCTGCCTTGCTAGATTGGGGAAGTTCTCCTGGATAATATCCTGCAGAGTGTTTTCCAACTTGGTTCCATTCTCCCCGTCACTTTCAGGTACACCAATCAGATGTAGATTTGGTCTTTTCACATAGTCCTATATTTCTTGGAGGCTTTGCTCATTTCTTTTTATTCTTTTTTTCTTTAAACTTCCCTTCTCGCTTCATTTCATTCATTTCATCTTCCATTGCTGACACCCTTTCTTCCAGTTGATCGCATTGGCTCCTGAGGCTTCTGCATTCTTCACGTAGTTCTCGAGCCTTGGTTTTCAGCTCCATCAGCTCCTTTAAGCACTTCTCTGTGTGGGTTATTCTAGTTATACATTCTTCTAAACTTTTTTCAAAGTTTTCAACTTCTCTGCCTTCGGTTTGAATGTCCTCCGGTAGCTCAGAGTAATGTGATCGTCTGAAGCCTTCTTCTCTCAGCTCGTCAAAGTCATTCTCTGTCCAGCTTTGTTCCATTGCTGGTGAGGAACTGCGTTCCTTTGGAGGAGGAGAGGTGCTCTGCTTTTTAGAGTTTCCAGTTTTTCTGCTCTGTTTTTTCCCTATCTTTGTGGTTTTATCTACTTTTGGTCTTTGATGATGGTGATGTACAGATGGGTTTTTGGTGTGGATGTCCTTTCTGTTTGTTAGTTTTCCTTCTAACAGACAGGACCCTTAGCTGCAGGTCTGTTGGAGTACCCGGCCATGTGAGGTGTCAGTCTGCCCCTGCTGGGGGGTGCCTCCCAGTTAGGCTGCTCGGGGGTCAGGGGTCAGGGACCCAGTTGAGGAGGCAGTCTGCCAGTTCTCAGATCTCCAGCTGCATGCTGGGAGAACCACTGCTCTCTTCAAAGCTGTCAGACAGGGACATTTAAGTCTGCAGAGGTTACTGCTGTCTTTTTGTTTGTCTGTGCCCTGCCCCCAGAGGTAGAGCCTACAGAGGCAGGCAGGCCTCCTAGAGCTGTGGTGGGCTCCACCCAGTTGGAGCTTCCTGGCTGCTTTGTTTACCTAAGCAAGCCTGGGCAATGGCGGGCGCCCCTTCCCCAGCGTTGCTGCCACCTTGCAGTTTGATCTCAGTCTGCTGTGCTAGCAATCAGCGAGACTCCATGGGCATAGGACCCTCCGAGCCATGCGCGGGATATAATCTCCTGGTGCGCTGTTTTTTAAGCCTGTTGGAAAAGCACAGTATTTGGGTGGGAGTGACCTGATTTTCCAGGTGCCGTCTGTCACCCCTTTCTTTGACTAGGAAAGGGAACTCCCTGACCCCTTGCACTTCCTGAGTGAGGCAATGCCTCGCCCTGCTTTGGCTCACGCATGGTGCATGCACCCACTGACCTGCACCCACTGTCTGGCACTCCCTAGTGAGATGAACCCGGTACCTCAGATGGAAATGCAGAAATCACCCATCTTCTGCGTCGCTCACACTGGGAGCTGTAGACCAGAGCTGTTCCTATTCAGCCATCTTGGCTCCTCCCCACCTTTCCTGACTTTTTAATGTTTGCCATTCTAACTGGCGTGAGATGGTATCTCATTGTGGTTTTGATTTGCATTTCTCTAATGACCAGTGATGATGAGCTTTTTTGCATATGTTTGCGACTGCATAAATGTCTTTTTTTGAAAAGTGTCTGTTCATATACTTTGCCCACTTTTTGATGGGGTTGTTTGTTTTTTTCTTGTAAATTTATCTAAGTTCTTTGTAGATTCTGGATATTAGCCCTTTGTCAGATGGATAGATTGCAAAATTTTTCTCCCATTCTGTAGGTTGTCTGTTCACTCTGAAAATAGTTTCTTTTGCTATGCAGACACTGTTTAGTTTAATTAGATCCCATTTGTCAATTTTAGCTTTTGTTGCCATTGCTTTTGGTGTTTTAGTCATGAAGTCTTTGCCCATGCCTATGTCCTGAATGATATTGCCTAGGTTTTATTCTAGGGTTTTTATGGTTTTAGGTCTTAGGTTTAAGTCTTTAATCCATCTTGAGTTAATTTTTGTATAAGGTGTAAGGAAGTGGTCCAATTTCAGTTTTCTGCATATGGCTAGTCAGTTTTCCCATCACCATTTATTAAATAGGGAATCCTTTCCCCATTTCTTGTTTTTGTCAGGGTTGTCAAAGATCAGATAGTTGTAGATGTGTGGTGTTATTTCTGAGGCCTCTGTTCTGTTCCACTGGTCTATTTATCTGTTTTGGTACGAGTACCATGCTGTTTTGGTTACTGTAGCCTTGTAGTATAGTTTGAAGTCGGGTAGCATGATGCCTCCAGTTTGTTCTTTTTGCTTAGTGTGAAAATGGCCATACTGCCCAAAGTAATTTATAGATTCAATGCTATCCATATCTATTTGTTGTCTTTATAGTAATTTGACGTGTAAAGTTAGGTTGCTTATTTGAGATTGCTCTTCTTTTTTTTCTAGTTTTATTTTGGGTTAAGGGGGTATATGTACAGGTTTGTTACATGAGTACAGTGTGTGTCACTGAGGCTTGGTGTATGAATGATCTCATCATCAAGGTAGTGAGCGCAGTACCCGATAGGTAGCCTTCCAACCTCTCCCCCTTCCCACCCTCCCCACTCAAGTAATCCCCAGTGTCTATTGTTCCCATTTTTGTGTCCATGTGTATTCAATGTTTAGCTCCCATTATAAGTGAGAACACATGGTATTTGGTTTTCTGTTCCTGTGTTAGTTTGCTTAAGATAATGGTCTTCAGATGCTTCCACATTGCTATAAATTTCGTTCTTGGAACTCCTTTTGCTGTATCCTGTAACTTTTGATAAATTATATTTTCATTTTTACTTCTCTCAAGATAGTTTTAAAATTTCTCTGATTTCTTCTTTTACCCAGTGATTATTCAAGAGTGTGTTAGTTTTCATGTATTCATGAAATTTCCCATTTTTATTGCTTTTATTGATTTCTAGCTTCATTCTATTGTGGTTGGATAGTATATCTGGAATGATTTCAATCTTCTTAAATTTGTTAAGATTTGCTTTGTGACCTGAAATGTGATCTATTCTGGAGAATGTTCCATGTATGAATGAGAAGAATATATATTCTTCTCCTGTTGGATAAAAAGTTCTGTATAAATCTATTAGGTCCATTTGCCCTATAGTGTAGTTCAGTTCCATTGTCTCTTTGTTGATTTTATGTCTGATGTCCTATTCACTATTGAAAGTAGGATATTGAAGTCTTCTACTATTATTGTATTGCTGTCAACCTCTCCTTTTCAATCTGTCAATATTTGCTTTATATACTTAGATGCTCTGATGTCGGACACATTTATATTTAGTATTGTTATATGTTTCTGTTAAATTGACTCTTTTACCATTATGTAATGATCTTTTTTGTATCTAAAAACAGTTTTTTTTTTTAACTGAAACTCTGCTTTATCTTATATAAGCAGAGCCATTCCTGCTCTCCTTTGGTTACTGTTTATATGAAATATCCTTTCTCATCCCTTTCCTTTCAGCCTCTGTGTGTCCTTAAATCTAAAGTGAGTTTCTTGTTGACAGCAGATAGTTTGATCTTGATTTTTTTTATCCATTTAGTGACTCTATATCATTTTATTGGGAAGTTTAGTTCATTTGTTTAAAATAATTATTGATAAGGAGGGATTTATTATTACCATTTGATTAACTGTTTTCTCTTTGTCTTACAGCCCTTTTGTCCCTATTTTTATCTCTTGCTCTGTTTCATTTTTAATTAATTGGTTTTGATTTCTTTATGTTTTTCTTTTGTGTAACTTCTATAGGTGTTTTCTTTGTGGCTACCAAGGAGCTTACATAAAATGTCTTATAGTTGTAACAGTCTATTTTGAGCTGATAATAACTTCATTTGCATACAATAACTGCTTTGATCCCTCTTCCCTCCAAATTATATTCTGTTGATGTAACAATGTACATCTATTTGTATTATGTGTCTATTAATATCATTTATAGACATTTTAATGTTTTTTCCTTTTAGCTTTTATAGTAGAATTAAAAGTGATTTACCACCTCCATTATAGTAATACAATATTCTATTTTTGTCTATATTTACCTTTACCAGTGAGCTTCATTCCTTCTTATGCACGTGTGTTGCTGTTTAGTACTCTTTTAATTAAACTTGAAGAGCTCTCTTTAGCATTTCTTGTAAGGTAGGTCTAGCAGTAATAAACTCCCCGAGCTTTTGTTTTTCTGAGAAAGTCTTAATCTCTTTTTCATTTTTTTAAGGTTAGATTTGCTTGACACAGTATTCTTGATTGGCAGTTCCCCACTCCCAGCACTCTGAGTATATCATTCCATGCACTTCTTACCTGCAAGGTTACTGCTGAAAAATCTACTAATAGTCTTATGAAGATTCCCTTGTATGTAGTAGGTTGCTTTTCTCTTTCTGATTTCAAAATTCTCTGTCTTTAACTTCTGACAATTTAATTATAATGGGTCTTTTTGGATTCACTTTATTTAGTATCCTTTGGGCTTCCTGGATCTGGATTTCTATTTACTCCCCCAGGCTTGGGATGTTTTTAGCTATTATCTCTTGGAATATATTAGGTTGGTGCAAGAGTAATTGCGTTTTTTTGCAGATGTATTGCAAAAACTGCAATTACTCTTTTACCAACTTAATACTTTCTTTCACTTTCTTTTTTCTCTTCTTTTGGGTCTCTAATAATGTATACATTGGTCGGCTTTATGTGTCCCATAAGTCCCTTAAGGTATCTTCACTCTTTCATTCTTATTTCTTTTTGCTCCTCTGATTGGATGATTTCCAATGGCCTGTCTTCAAGTTCACTGATGCTTTCTTCTGCTTGGTTTAGTCTGCTGCTGAACTTCTCTGTTGAATTTTTCAGTTCAGGCATTGTATTCTTCGGCTGTATCACTTCTGTTTGGTATGTTTAAACATTTTCTATCTGTGTGTTGAAAGTCTCACTTTGTTCATGCCTTTCTCTCCTGACCTCAGTGAATATTTTTAAGACCATTATTTTGAATTCCCTGCTGGGTAAATGACTTGTCACTATTTTATTAAGTTGACTTCTGGAGTTTTATCTTTTTTTGTTTTGTTTTGTTTTTTGTTTTGTTGTTGTTGTTGTTGTTTGAAACGTATTTTCCTGTTTCTTCATTTTCCTTGATTCTGTGTTGGTTTCTGTGCATTAGATAAAACAGCTACCTCTCCAGTCTTGTGTAGGAATAAACCACACAAATCAGTATGGCCAGTGATTCTGGGTGCCTCCCAAATCTTTGTGCTTGTCCAAACCATTGCCTATGTTCTTCATGGGCCCCAGAAGATTAATGTGTTCCATATCCCATTAGTGCCCTGAGACAATTCAAAAAGAAGTGAATACTTTGAGAAGAAGCTGGAAAATTTATGGTGCTAGATGTGTGGTCCAGTTTTTTTTTTCTCTCTTCAGGGAGAAGCTTGGAACTGAAGTGTATTTGCCCTTGTTCTGGAATAAGGCATGGAGACTATCTGTGTCAGATTCCTGCACTCTCGTTCAGACTGTACACTCTTTCAACCCTTTGGTCTGCTCTTTGTTTCCCTCAGGGGCCTAATGAATATTGATTCCCATTGGCTGTCAGAGACAGGTGAGTCAGATGGAGGCTTGGTACTATCTCTAGAGCAAGCTGAGAAGAGGATTTGTGGGAAGTGCCTATAGTTCCCTTCAGGCTCCCAGAGAAGTACTTATTGCCTGCCCCATCAGCTCCCAGATGCAGGCTAATTAAAGGCTTGATCCTGGGAAGCAGCAGTGAAAGTTAAGATGTTAGGTTTGCAGTTGAACCCCTTCCAGGGAGAAACTGGAAACTGGGTGTTTTGCCTTCTTGTTCTGTGCCGAGCCAGGGGAAGTAGCCACTACAGGTGCTCCTATTCCCATTTAAAATCAAATCAATTCTTTGTTCTCTGTGGTCTGGGGGGACTTGTAAATGCTAAGTCATGTCAGTTCCCAGAGATAAGTGATTTAGGAGCTAGTCTCTCAAGTGGGAGCTGTACAAGTTGGGGTGCTCAATGTGTAGACAAGCCCCTTCCAGGCAGAAGCTGGAGGCTTGGTTTTACTGCTGGAGTAATATGGTGGGGGGGGGGGGGAAGATTGCTAATTAGCTGCATTTAAAATAGATTATTTTGGATTGTCTGGGTACCCCCAGTGTAATCACAATGGCCCTTAAAAGTGGAGAGAGATGCGGAAAAGAAGTTCATAGTGATTTGATGTGAGAAGGACTCAATCCATTGTCATTGGCTTTGAAGGTGGAACTGGGCCATAAGCCAAGGAATGCAGGTGATCTCTAGAAGCTGCAAAAGGCAAGGAAATTGATTCTCCAGTACAGCCTCCAGAAAAGAACTCATCCTCACCAACAACTTGAGACTCATGTTGAACCTCTAAGTTCCAAAACTGTAAGATAATAAATTTTTGTTGTTTTAAGCTACTAAATTTATGGTAACAGCAGCAACAGGAAACTAAGCATATTGGACTTGAAAATGTGTATTCTGCTGTTATTAAGTGGAATGTTCTATAAATGTCAATTAGGTCAAATTGGTTGACAATGTTGGCACACTGAATAATGCCCCCAAAGATATCCATGTCTTATTGCCCAGGACATACCTGTGGATGTTACTTTATATGTCAAAAAGGGACATTGCAGATGTAATTGAGTTAAGGATCTTGAGATAAAGAGATTATTTTTGATTGTCCAGATGGACTCTAAATATAAATTTTAAGAGAAGCAGAGGGAAGGCACAGAAAAAGAGGGCAATGTGAGGACTGAAGCAAGATGCTGTGCTGCTGGCTTTGAAGATGAAGGAAGGGGCCATGAGCAGCTCTAAAAGCTGCAAAAGGCAAAAAAATATTTCCCTTAGAGATTTTGGAGAAGTAGGGCACTACCATCACCTTGATTTCAGCCCCATGAAACTGATTTTGGACTGTTGATTTCCAGAACTGTGAGAGAATAAATGGCTTGTATTAAGACACGAAGCTTGTAGGAATTTCTTGCAGCAGCCATAGGAAACTAATACAATGGTGTTCAAATCTTCTCTATCTTTACTGATTTTTTTGTCTACTTGTACTATTATTATTATTTTTCCATACCTATCTTCTATACTATTAATTATTGAGAGGGGCATTAAAATCTCTGGCCATATTTGTGAGTTTTTCTTTTTATTATTGCAATTCTGTCAATTTTTGCTTCATGTGTTTTGGAATTCTGTTATTACACACATAAAAGTTTTAGATTGTTATGTCCTCTTGATGAATTGATGGCTTTATCATTGTAGAATGTCCTTCTTCATTCCTGATAATATTTTTTCCTTTGAAGTCTACTTTGTCTGATATTAATATTGTCATTCCAAGTATCTTTTGATTAGTGTCATTATAGAATATCTTTTTTCATCCTTTTCTGCTTAAGCCAGCTGTCTTTATATTTAGTGCAAGATTCATGTAGGCAAAATATAGATAAGCTTTGCTTTTTAAATCCACTCTGACAATCACTGCCTTTTAACTGAGGATATTCAGACCATGTACTCTAATATTTAGATTATTGACTTCTTTAGATTTAAATCTATCATCTTACTATTTTTCAAATTTGTCGCATTTGTTCTTTGTTTCCCTTTTTACTGCCTTCATTTATATTAATTGAACTTTTAAAAAATTCCATTTTTCCTCTCTCTGTTGGCTTATTATCTATAACTCTTTGTTATTTTATTGGTTGACTTAGAGTTTATAGTATAGAGCTTTTGCTTGCCTCAGTTCACCTTGAAGTGATATCATATCACTTTACATAGAGCATAAACATTTTATAATAGTATCTTTCCATTTTTCCTCTCCTGATTTTTTGTCCTATTGTTCTCACAGGTTTTACTTTTGCATATATTGCAAAACTCAATCTATATTGTTATTATTTTTGTTTAAGCAGTCAATTATATTTTAAAGGTATTTAATTAATAAGAAAAATACCCTATATATTTACTCATGTGGTTACCATTTTTGATGATCTTAATTCCTTTGAAAAGATCAGTATTTTTCTCTGATATCATTCTCCTTTTTTAACTTTTTTTTTTTTTTTTGTAGTTCAGGTCTGCTGGCAACAAACTGAGCTACTGAATGTCTGGAAAAGCTTTTATTTTGCCTTCATTTTTGAAAGGTAATTTTGAAAAATAATTTTAATTTGACAGTTTTTCTTCTAATACAGTCATGTGTCACATAATGATGTTTTGGTCAACAACAGACCACATATGCGATGTTGGTCCCATAAGAGTATAGCACCCTATTTTTACTGTATTTTTTTTCTGTGTTTAGTATGTTTAGATACACAAATACTTACCAGTGTGTTACAGTTGCCTACAGTATTCACTACAGTAGCATGCTCTACAGGTTTGTAGTCTAGGAGCAATAGGCCATATCATACAGCCTAGGTGTGTAGTAGGCTGTACCATTTAGGTTTGTGTAAGTACACTCTACAATGTTCACAGAATGATGAAGTAGCTTAATGGTGCACTTCTCAGAATATATCCCCATTGTTAAGTGACACATGATTGTACTTTGTAAATGTTGTTTCACTGTCTTCTCTGTCACATTAATTCTTCAGAAAAATCTGTTGTCATCCTTACCTTTGTTTCTCTGGACATAACATATGTTTTTTTTCCTCTGGCTGCTTTAAGAATTGTCCTTTTATCATTCATTTTGATCAACCTGATTATCATGTTTCTTCTTGTGGATGTCTTATTTGCTTGGGGTTCACTGAACTTCTTGGGTTCTTGTGCTTACAGTTTTCATAAAATTTGGAAAATTTTTGGCCATTATTGATTCCAATATTTTTTCTGTCCTGACCCCCTTTTATTTTTAGTGAATCCAGTTACATATACATTCCACTTGAGGTTGTCCCAGAGCTCACTGAAGCTCTGTTCTTTGAAAGTGACTATTCTTTTTTTCTTTTGTGTTTTCTATGTTGGGACATTTCTATTGCTGTGTCTTCAAGTTCATTAATCTTCTCTCTTTTCTAAATTTTTAGGTTCAGGGGTAAATATGCAGGTTTGTTATATAGGTAAACTTGTGTCACAAGGGTTTGTTGTACAGATTGTTTTGTCACTCAGATACTAAGCCTAGTACCCAATAGTTGTTTTTTCTGTTCCTTTTCCTCCTTCCATCCTGCACCCTCAAATAGGCCCCAGTGTCTGTTGTTCTCCTCTTTGTGTCCATATGTTCTTATCATTTAGCTCCCACATGAGAACATGTACTATTTGGTTTTCTGTTCCTGCATTAGTTTGTTAAGGATAATGGCCTCCGGTTCCATTAATGTTCCTGCAAAGGACATGATCTCATTCTTTTTTATGGCTGTGTAGTATTCCATAGTGTATATGTACATTTTCTTTATCCAGTCTAGCATTGATGGGCATTTAGGTTGATTCCATGTTTTTGCTATTGTGAATAGTGCTGCAATGAACATACATATGCATGTGTGTCTTTATGATAGAATAATTTATATTCCTTTGAGGATATACCCAGTAATGGGATTGCTGGGTTGAATGGTAGTTCTGGTTTTAGATCTTTGAGGAATTGCCACACTGCTTTCCACAATGGTTGAACTAATTTACACTCTCACCAACAGTGTATCAGTGTTCCCTTTTCTCAGCAACCTTGCCAGCATTTGTTATTTTTTGACTTTTTAGTAATAGCCATTTGGACTGATGTGCGATAGTATCTCATTGTAGTTTATTTTGTATTTCTCTAATTATCAGTGATATTGAGCTTTTTTAAAATATGCTTGCTGGCCACATGTATGTCTTGTTTTGAAAAGTGGCTATTCATGTCCTTTGCCCACTTTTTAATGGGGTTGCTTTTTTTTCTTATAAATTTGCTTGAGTTTCTTACAGATGCTGGATATTAAACCTTTGTCAGGTGCATAATTTGTAAAAATTTTCTCCCATTCTGTAGGTTGTCTGTTTACTCTGTTGATAGTTTCTTTTGCTGTGCAGAAGCTCTTTAATTGGATTCTATTTGTCAGTTTTTGCTTTTGCTGCAATTGCCTTTGGCATCTTCATCATGAAATTTTTGCCAGTTCGTATGCCCAGAATAATATTGTCTAGGTTGTTTTCCAGGGTTTATATAGTTTTTGGGTTTTACATTTAAGTCTTTAATTCATCTTGAGTTGATTTTTGTATATGGTATAAGGAAGGGGTTCAGCTTCAATCTTCTGCATATGGCTAGCCTGGTTAGCCAGTTATCCCAGCACCATTTATTGAATAGGGAGTCCTTTCCCCATTGTTTATTTTTGGCAGATGGTTGTAGTTGGTGTGGCCTTATTTTTGGCCTCTCTATTCTGTTCCATTGGTTATATGTCTGTTTTTGTACCAGTACCATGCTATTTTGCTTACTGTAGCTCTGTAGTATAGTTTGAAGTTACGTAGCATGATGCCTCCAGCTTTGTTCTTTTTGCTTAGGATCACCTTGGCTATTAAGGCTGTTTTGATTCCATATGAATTTTAAAATAGTTTTCTTTCTAGTTCTGTGAAGAATGTCATTGGTAGTTTGATACGAATAAGATTGAATTTATAAATTACATTGGGCAGTATGGTCATTTTAACAATATTGATTCTTCTTATTCATGAGCATAGAATGTTATTTCATTTGTTTGTGTCATCTCTGACTTCTTTAAGCAGTGTTTTGTAGTTCTCATTATAGAGATCTTTCGCCTCCCTAGTTAGCTGTGTTCCTAAATATTTATTCTTTTTGAGGCAGTTGTGAATGAGATTGCATTCCTGATTTAGCTTTCGGCTTGACTGTTGTTGTTATATAGGAATGCTAGTGACTTTTGTACATTGATTTTGTATCCTGAGGCTTTGCTGAAGTTCTTTATCAGCCGAAGGAGCTTTTGGGCTGAGACTATGGGATTTTTTAGATATAGGCTCATGTTGTCTGCAAACAAGGATAGTGTAAATTTCTCTCTTCCCATTTGGAAGAGAGAAACAAACTCTCTTTTGTTACTCTCTTTTATTTCTCTCTCTTATCTGATTGCTCTGGCCAGGACTTTCAATACTATGTTGAATGGAAGTGGTGAAAGAGGACATCCTTGTCTTGTGTCAGTTTTCAAGGGGAATACTTTCAGGTTTTGTCCATTCAGTATAATGTTGGCTGTGGGTTTGTCATAGATAGCTCTTATTATTTTGAAGGTATGTTTCTTCAATACCTGGTTTATTGAGAGTTTTTAACATGAAGGGATTTTTGAATTTGATTGAAAGCCTTTTCTGCATCTATTTAGATGATCATAAGTTCACTAATCTTTTCTTTTTCAGCCTAATATTTTGCTAACCCTATTCAATGTACTTCTTATATCTTTTATGGTAGTTTTTATCTCTAGAGGTTAAATTTGGATCTTTTTAATGTCTTCCACCTTACTACTTAAACTGTTTTAACATATAGCACACAGTTGTAATAACTGTGTTAATGTTTTTGGCTGATAATTCTAACACTTTTGTCAGTCTGGGCTGGTATTTATTCATTGATTTATCTCTTCATATTTTCTTGCTAATTTTCATGTTTGGTAATTTTTTACTGGATGCCAGACATCTGGTTTTGACCTTCTTATGTGCTGAATATTTTCTTACTTCTGTAAATATTCTTGAGCTTTCTTCTGGGATGCATTTAAGTTACTTGGAAACAGTTTGATCCTTCAGGTCTTGCTTTTAATATTTGGTAGGCATACTTGATAAGTTGTCAGTCTAGAACCAATTATTTCCCACTAGTGAGGCAAGGCTCTTCTGGGAAATCTACCCAATGCCCCACAAATCACAGGCTTTTTTAGTTTTTATGGTCCGTGGTGAGTGCAGGACACTGTTTCCTCTAATCTTGTTGACTGGTTCTTTTTGTCACCTCAGGGGGTTTCACCACATGCATGTGGTGATCAGTATTCAATTGAAGACTCAAGGGGGACTCTCTGCAGGTGTCTAGTTTTCTCTCCATATAGCTCTCTCCTCTCTCAGACTCTGTTATGTGAACTCTTAGCCACCTTTGTATCTCCAGAATCCCAACTCTATCTTCTCAAATCAGGGAGTCTGCCAGGCTCCACCTGGTTTCCATAAATGTTAGTTTTTTAATGCTGCATAACAAATTACCGCGAACTTAGCAACTTAAAACAGCATAGATTTATTATCTCAAGATTAGTGTGGGCAGGGAGTGTAGACATAGCTTAACTGTATGTTCTCTGCTTTAGGGTTTCACCAGCCTGTAATGCTAGCTTAAGTCTAATCAGAGGCTTGATGGGAAAGATCTGAACCCTCAGGATGTTGACACAATTTGTTTCTTTGTGGCTGTGACCAAGGATTTTGACTTTTTCCTGTATGTTGGCTAGAGGCCACCTGCAGTTCTCTGCCATGTTAGCCCTGTTCATAGGCAATTCACAAAATGGAAATTTGCTCCTTGAAGGCCAGGAGGAAAGGAAAAGCAAGTCTTTGTGCAGCTATATAAATCACTGGAGTGACATTCTGTCACCTATGCCATGTTCTATTGGTTAGAAATAGGTCTCAGATCCCACCTACAATCAAGGGGAGGAGTTCTACAAAGGTGTGAACACCAGGGGCCAGGAATCATTTGAAGTCAACATAGGGTCTGTCTGTTATACCCTCTCTGTGTTGTGACCTGAAAACTCTCTCAAGACAGGAGGCTGGGAAAATTGAAACTCTTGTCTTGTTTTCCAATTCTCAGTGATTACTCTCTTTTGTTACCTGATTTTCAGTGTCTTCAGCACTGTCATTTTATATCATTTGTCCATTTTTTGATTGTTTCACATGGGGCAGGAAGGGGATATCTGGTCCTTGTTATGCTATTTTGATCTGACAAGGAAGTCTGAACTCTGTTTTTTAAATTCAGTTTTTCTGTCTGTTGTCAGGATATGGAAGTGTTGTAGCTTTTAAAAAGTTGATATTATATTGAGATTCATTGCTCTACTTTTATTACCTTTAATTATCTATCTAAAATTATTATTTTTCTTTCTCATCAGTACTCATACCTTTTATTTTTATTTCTTTTTTTGAAGTTATTAGATAGATAAGACCTGTGGTAAAATGCTAAATAGAAGCAGTGATAGTCTGCATCTTTTGTTGCTCCAAATTTTAATACAAATCCCTGCAATGTTTGAGAGAAACTCTCTTTTTTCATCTGTCCACTTTTAGATGTTTTCCAGTATCTTTACATAGATTTAAAATTTTTAAAAGTTTTTATAACTGCTACCCATGGAGGAGTTTATGTAATGAATACACTTCTCCAACACTAATAGGAGTATTCATCATTAACTTTAAAAAAATCAATTATAATTTGATTTATTAAAATTTCATGAGTTTTTTCAAATACAGCTCATCATCTTTGGTAGTTTTTTGTTCCTTTTTAATTTGGGCTGTATGTGTGTGATATTCTAAGAAATATTTTATAGCTACTTAGTACACTGTAACTAGTACTGTGATATTAAAGTTTCTGAGTCTACTTCTGTTGGGTTTTTTAATCTTTTTGATCTTGTTCATAGGGACATGATTTGGGTTCACTTTACTGAATTAATTCCATCTGAATACTCAAGTAAATTGGAGATGTTTTCCTCTAGAGAAGATTTGTGTTTGCTTCTACTGGCTGTCAATAATTCAACTAATTTTGGATAACTTTAGTCTCCTGGAAGGTCCTAAATTAATACAGAACACTCCAAATCAGCTCTCCAATTTTACTGACAGCCCAAGATTGATTTCTTCATCTTAGGATTGGTACCGGCATTTGTCTATCGGTCACCTCTGCCTTCCTTGTTCATGTATTCCTCATGGGCCTCAACTCCAGTTTGTGCTCCTCATTTAAAAAAAAATATTGTTTGCTCTACCTTTGGAATTTTCTTTATTTTTCTGGTGAACTCATCAATTATAAAAATTCTGTTTCTTTTAATAAATGTAGCCTCTATTTGCATCTAGCAAGATGATGCTTCAGAATATCCAGTCCAATTTGCTATCTTTTCTGACATTTGTCTTTACTTATGTTTCAGTGATAAATCTGTAGGACGTCAGGGCTAAAATCTGGCTAACATGAGTCATGTCCACTTACCATTTTCTAAGGAGAAAACTATAGAAGAGAATTAACAACATATGATCAAAGGAACTTTACAGTTTATGTAATATTATTTTATTGCCATTTTCATTATATTCAGTAGAAATAGTAGTACTAGAAAGAAGAAAATGAGATTTTAGGAACATAAAACTGGCTTTAGATATTTGAAAATGAGAGGAATTTTATGTTTACAGATTTCAAAAGGCTTTGATATTATATTTCAATGCAAACAGTAACTTATCGTATGATTTGGTTCATTAATAATTGGAGTGATGTTCAGATTTAAACATTTCATAGAATCTCAAATATGACTTCAGGTACCACATTTTACAGGGAAATTACTGTGATTCACCCACTAAATGATAGTGAGTAAATAATAACTGGGATCTGTAACTATAACCTAGGAGTCTTGCGTTCTAGTCTAATAACTGTTCTCAAAAATATCATTAACTTTTTGGGTATAATAAACAGCAAACTGCAGAATAAATTGCACATACTAAAGAGTAAGCAACAAAACAAATTGCACATGCTGTGCAGTATGCAAAGCCACAGAATTATCAATCTGAGAAACAACTGAATACAAAATAAAACACACAGTTGTGTTTTGATTAAGGCTCCTTTTAGGCAGTTTGCTTCAGCCAAGGCTGTGTAACTTCTTTGAGTTTCCATGTACTTTATAAGGCTCTGTTTGAATTCCTTTACTCTTTCATCTGATCCCACAGGTCCACATTTAGACCTCTGTATTAGGCTGTACAACCCATTGGTATAGTGATCACCATTTTTCTCCATCAACAGATCCTCAATACAGTCCATTAGTTCCTTCACTTGGTCATCCTGATTGCTCCCTTCAGCACGGTTATTAAAGGCACAGATTCGCCCACCACATGCTGCCACCAGCTTGCTTAGGGCTTTGTTATCTGAGTCGTGCATGTAATCCATCAGGGAGCCACCATTGAGGTCTTCCTTGTGGGTAAAGAGGACAATTGTGTGTCCCATGGCATCCTCTCCAAAGATCTCCTTCACCCTCTGTGCAGCCTGCTGGTCCTGTGAGGTATAGCGGCCCAGCTGAGTCACCAGGAGCAGCACATGGGGTCCTGGTGCAGACAGCAAGTAGCACCTCTGCACCTCTTTGTACAGAGCTTCACAGTGGTCCTTCCAAGAAAACATATCTGGTGTGTCAATAATGACAATCTCTCTATTTCCCCAGCTTCCCTGACTTTTGCTGCAAGTCTTAGTCAAGGTCTGGGAACCCAGCTTCGATTCAAATGCTTGCTTCCTGAGGATGCTGTTCCCTGCAGCACTTTTGCCAGTTCCTGTTTTGCCCACCAGGATGATTCTCAGCTCAGATCTGCTGGCACATTGGCCCTTTGCATGTGGTCCTGTGAGGAGCAAGTTTACTGTGTTATCGCTACACTGATCACGGCAGTGGAATATTTTTTTTTCCTTTCATTTCTTTTTCTTTTTTTTTTGAGACGGAGTCTCGCTCTGTCGCCCAGGCTGGAGTGCAATGGCGTGATCTCGGGTCACTGCAAGCTCCACCTCCCGGGTTCACGCCATTCTCCTGCCTCAGCCTCCCAGTAGCTGGGACTACAGATGCCCGCCACCGCATCCCGCTAATTTTTTTTTTTTTTGGTAGTTTTAGTAGAGACAGGGTTTCACCGTGGTATCGATCTCCTGACATCGTGATCCGCCCGCCTCGGCCTCCCAAAGTGCTGGGATTACTGGCGTGAGCCACCGGGCCCAGCCGGTAGTGGAATATTTTTAATGATAAGGAGGTATTCCCCGTTATGTAAAAAGATACTCGCACATCTATTTCACGTGAAATGAAAGCTAACTTGATTGCTGTAGGACTGCAGGGTATTGCCATGTTGGAGCCTAGGAAAACATACTTGGGGATGAGATGGATTTAGAGACATTTCTCATCATGTAATGGTTGCCTGAATCACTCAGTCCTGGATCTCTAGAAGAAAAGTTTTCTGGAGATCAGAGATGCGTAGGCAAGGCCATGGGTTCCATCTCAATGTGGGCCAAGTGACCTGGCTCTGTTTCAAGGCCAGAGGTTGCTACTTTGACCTTGGCTGGGCAGAGTGGGGTCATGACTACCAGGGAAGTGGCTGGACCAGCAAAATATTAGAATGAGCAGTGTAAAATTATTTTTATTAGTGAAGAAACAACTGATATCTTATAAAGGATATCATAATTTTGCTTAGAAAGCATGGCATAATTTTGGTATAAAATAGTCACAGAATATGGTAAACTTTCCTCTCTCCTTCCCCATTTCCCTTCAACGTGGGTAAGGTTCTGGGGAGAGGAGTGAATGGGGACAGAGGTATGAAGGAGCTTGAGGCTTTAGGGAAAAAATGTGTTTCAGACACATAAAAGGGGAAGGCATAGGAGCCATGGTGCCATTTCGCTGGTCCACATGGCAGTGATAAGAATGACTTGTCTAGGGCAGGTTCATGGAAGAACCAAGATGCAGCTTTGTAGTGGAGAGAGGAGTGATTTAACTTGCAAGGCAAGGGTGACTCTGGCTCTTGAGGGTTAACCCCTTGATTCCTTTACTGTAAGGGAGGAACATTTGACCTATATGAGTGAAACGGAATACCATGATAACAGGAGAATCTTTCTGGAGGGAATATCCAAACAAACTAAGACTCTCCTGCTAAGCTCATTGCCTTTTGCGGTTTAGCTGTTCCTTACTCTCATGTTGCAGAGAGAAAGTTGGAGAAGGAAAGTCTACATTGACCACAGAATATCAGAGCTTAGAAGGAACTTAGACTGTACAAAGAAAATGAGCTTTCTGAGAGGCAGCATGCAGTGGTGAAGAAAAAAAGAATCTGGAGCTGGATTGCTTAGTTTAGATTGTCTTTCCATTGCTAGTCATATGATCTTGGACAACTGATTAATTTCTCTTCATCTGGAGAAGATGATGGTTTACTCCATGTGGTGGTGTTCTAATGACTAAATAAGTTAATATATGTAAAGAACTTAAAAGAGTGCTGGTGCACTTAAGCACTTGGTGAAAATTAGGCTAGGATTGTTTATAGCAACCTCCTTATAGATGAAGTAACTTGCATGCAGGGGTTAAGTAACTTGGACAAAGTCACCTAAATAGTTAGTGAAATCTACCCTTTATTGAGCACTTTTAATGTGCCAGGATCTGTTCCAAGTGGTTTACCTGCATTACCTAATTTACTCCTCCTAGCAATGATATGATTTAGGGTTAGGTGCTGCAATGCCCACCAGTGGTCTTGTTCTTAGCTGGTTCAAATGACCTCTCGGGCTCACAGGACTGCCATGGGCCTCACTGGGACACTAGTCTACTCAGAAGAATGGAAAACTTCGCTTGCCAGAGGGACAATGTTGGGCCTTCCACCTAGTGGAAGTCTATGCAGCAATTCATGGAACACTGCAAACTGTCACCTAGGGAGGTCCCAGGGCAAGGAGATGGCATCTTGAGCAGTTATAGAAGCCACCTGGACTCACAGGAGCCAATGTCTCTTGTAGCAACTCTGGGGTTTAGCTTCCAGATTCCCTGCAAGGAACATGAGAGTTACAAGAGTCACTGTGCTCAGGGAAGTTCAAAACATAGCTTCCTAGCATGTATTTATAGTTCTTCCAGTATAGATATAATTCACCCATCAAGAGAAGTTTTCAACCATAAGCAAAGTTCCTAATAATGTTAGAGACATTTTACTCTTATTAAATTATTAGAGAATCTCAGCTAAAACATTTAACCAAAGATTAAATTCTCAGAAAGGGAAAGGGTTTGTCAACCTTTTTACCCATGGGTTCCTTTTATTCACCTTATTTTACACATAAATCTGCAACTTGCCCAATAACTTAGAGCCCATTAAAAGTAACCAGTTTTGTAAATGAAAAAGCTGGCATTTGAACCTGCCCGTTTTCTATGCCTGAAGTATTAGTGCTTTGCCATGCTGCTACGCCAACACTTGTTGCACATATTTAAGTATTTTCTCTTCCAGACAAATTGGCCAAAATTTATGGACATTTAATCTTATTTTCTGTAGGCCAGTGAAATTATGGCCTCACAGTAGACATGCAATGGACACTTGTACTTAAAAGGAAGCAGGCATTACATTACACATTTCTATATTCTGAAAACAGCAGCCAAGCAGCTCCTGATACACCGCGCTGGAGCTTGCTTAGAGGCAGCCAAATTGCACGTTTAACCTTCCTCTCGCCTATGAAAACAGAAATGAAGGGAGTCATTGAAGAGAAGCGGTGGGAGTCCTGAGTTGCTGGCCTCCTAGGGAGTGCTACCTCATTCTCTCCCATGGGGAGGGTATAGGGAAGAGAATTCTCTGCATCCAAAGCCAAGTGAGAGGGTCTCTAAATCATCCACTCATAAATATTGGGCATGTCACCAAAGTTGAGAGATAGGTAGGTCATTTCCCAGATGGGTGTCTGCTGAATGACAGAAACTGGTAAGCCTATCCAAGTGCAGCAAAGTGAAGAGAATTCTTGAGCAAATTTTTGAGAGGAGTTAGATGTAACCTGAAGTTTGGAGACATGTATAAACATGGAAATTGGTGTCTATTTCCTTTCTGGAGAATTCTAAATTTTGAAGGCTGACTAGAGCCACCTAGGAGACCAGGATAAGGAGTAAGCAGCAATGGCTTAGGGGGTTTCCCATGGACAGAAGGGATCTTACAGAAAATAACTAGGCACAGCTGCCTTGATGAGGCCCTGTCCAAAGGCCTGCCTTGTATGGCAAGCGGAGTGCAATTACAAGAGGAAGCCAGGGGTGCCATGAGGGTGGGAGCAGAGGTCTAGTTGGAGAATTCTGCCAGAGAGGGCGCAGCCTCTGGCGGGAAGCCTGCAACTTAGCCCTGTGGCGACTCCACAGTGTTCTCGCACAGTGGAGGGTGTCTGCTGTAATGGGGCATGGGATGGCGGTGAGGACTAGCCAGGAGACAACTGCAAGGACAATGGGACTCAAGCACTCCACCTTCTTTCTCCAGTCACCCATCCTCCTGCCTGATGGGGAAGGAGGGACTAGCATGAGGGTTGAGGGGGCAGAGCTGGAAGGGAGAGGAGGACTTTTGGAAGGTACCAGAGTTCAGGCTGAGGCTGAGGTAGAGGAAGGAGAAACTCAAATTGAATGTAAGTTTGATGTTAGACGGCACCGAACAGTACAACACCTGATACATGTGTCATAGTGACTTTAATAGACTATTCTTCTAGTCTCTATTAATCAGAAAGGCAACTGCCTGAGATGGCATCAATAAATCAAGATTGTGGCCGGGCGTGGTGGCTCACGCCTGTAATCCCAGCACTTTGGGAGGCTGAGGTGGGCAGATCACTTGAGGTCAGGAATTTGAGATCAGCCTGGCCAACATGGTGAAACCCTGTCTCTACTAAAAATATAAAAATTAGCCAGGCATGATGACACATGCCTGTAATCCCAGCTACTCAGGAGGCTGAGGCAGGAGAATCACTTGAACCTGAGAGGCAGAGGTTGCAGTGAGCTGAGATTGCACCAATGCACTCCAGCCTGGGCCACAGAGCCAGACTCCATTCCCTCCACCCCGCAACCAAAACAAAAGGAAATCAAGATTGCATAATAAGAGTCAGTGGCTGGGAGGAAAAAAAAAGTTGTTTCTCATTTGGATCTCAGAGTTCAGCTTGATCAATAAACAAGTTCCATACACAATGAAGCCAGAGACCTCCTATTTCTCACAGGTGAGGGTTGAGTGTGAAGGCAACTTGGTAAGGAGGAAGATCTGGGCTCTTCTTGATGTAAGAGACTGAAGACAGGGCTGTCGAGGGGCAGAGAGTGAGGAGGAGGGAGTGGGAAAGGGGAGGTCAAGATACAGAGAGAGAGACGCCCATACCATACAGATAGCAGAAACAGGTGCAAGAAGAGGAGAGAGAGAGAAAGGACAAGGGAAGAGAAGGGAATGATAGAGACAGACAGAAAGACAGAGAGAGAGACACACACACACACACACAAAGAACCTATGGAAATGTGAGAGAAGGAAGAGAAGACTGAATGGTAGGAGAAGGAGTATTTCAAAGAGATCTGAAAGATTTGTGCATAAGGGAAAAGCCTGGATGCATATTTTGGATCCTGGTGAGTATTTTAACAATTTTCGAGCCAGACTTGGTGGTTCATGCCTGTAATTCCAGCACTTTGGGAGGCTGAGGCGGGTGGATCACAAGGTCAGGAGTTTGAGACCAGCCTGACCAATATGGTGAAACCCCGTCTCTACTAAAAATACAAAAAAAAATTAGCTGGGCGTGGTGGTGTGTGCCTTTAGTCCCAGCTACTTGGGAGGCTGAGGCAGGAGAATCACTTGAACCTGGGAGGTGGAGGTTGCAGTGAGCCGAGATTGCGCCACTGCACTCCGGCCTGGGTGACAGAGAGAGACACTGTCTCAAAACAAACAAACAAACAAACAAACAAAGAAAACAAAACCCCACAATTTTCAGCTGCTGGTGGTGGTAGCTGTGGGAGTTAGAATAAGATCCTTCACCCTTGTTTATTTTGCCCCAACATCATCAGAAGAGCCAAACACACACACACACACACACACACACACACACACACACACACACACACACGTGAAGTCACCTTCTTACCCCAGTGACTGTGTTCATTTTGGTCCATTGGTGTTCCTGAGAAACAGAGAGACAAGAAACTTATTTTTCAGTTCTAAATCATGAAAAATTCTTATATTTCTTTTCTTTTCTTTTTCTTTCTTTCTTTTTTTTTTTTTTTTTTTTGAGACACAGTTTCACTCTGTCACCCAGGCTGGAGTGCAGTGGTGCGATCTCGGCTCACTGCAACCTCCACATCCTGGGTTCAAGTGATTCTCCTGCCTCAGCCTCCCGAGTAGCTGGGATTATGGGTGTGCACCACCATGCCCATCTAATTTTTGTAGTTTTAGTAGAGACAGGGTTTCACCATGTTGGCCAGGCTGGTCTCAAACTCCTGACCTCAAATGATCCACCAGCCTCGGCCTCCCAAAGTTCTGGAATTAAAAGCGTGAGCCATCACACTAGGCCAAGATCCTTATATTTCTAAACAACCATGTTTCATTTGTCTACTCATAAGGGACAAGGTGGGTGGGAAAGGAATGACTTCCTACTTTACAGAGAACTGGAATCACTTGCTGAGGGGCTGAGAAGTGGGTTTCATTTGTAAGCCTCATGCCCAGCTCTCTCTCGCTTTCTTCCTCCCGTCCTCTCACAGATCAGCCCGGCTCCCTTCTGTTTTTGTTTTGCCTGCACACTCTTCGCTTCTGTCAGCTTTCTCTGTAGGTGTGCCTTCCCTTACACCTTAGGCTCAGTCCTCCCTTTCCCTCTCTTTCTTTTCCCACCTTGCCTCCTTCCCTCCTCTACTCTCTCCAAACCTCCTCCCTCATGTTGAGTCTTTGCTGAGAGACTCAGTGAATGAAGATTATGACTCTGGGAAACCGTGCAGTCCTTTAAGCTGGAAATACACTTCACTTGATCCATTAATGGCTTGAATTTTTCTCATTCCCCAACAGCCCCTGGTTATGAAGCCCTTGCAATGTAGGAACTACTATGGAGTGAGAAATATCGGTACGTTTTCATCAGCTAGTTTCTCTTGCTTAAATCTGGCAGGCATAGACCAAGCGTACAAGCACAGAAAACTGAAAGCCACCGATTAATGCCCAAATTCTTCCCAGTTAGCACTTTTTATTGACTTTATACTATGGAAATTCTTTCTTTGCCAGTAATGTGTAAAGTAAATTACATCGGTTTCCTGTAAACTGGCTCCACTTAAGGAAAAGGCAGTCACTCTAAATTGCTTCTCTTAAAATAGGACAAATTTGTTCTAAGAAAAATGAAAATGTTTGTGCATGGCTTGGGACCTAGAAATCAACACTGCAGAACTTTTCGTAAATCTGGGCTTACCTGATTTACTGTTCAAAGAAACAGTTGGCTCCCTGTTCAGTCCTGTTGTCTTATAGCTCAGCTCCAAGAGAAAAAGAAAGTAAAACCGAGACTCCAGTCGGTCTTCTTCCTCTCTTGAATCTTCCTGAGCTTCCTGACTGCTAATGAACGCCACCACGTGCCTGTGTTTGAAATTCTCTTTCATGCCATTATGCAAAATAAACAGTTTAAATGGAAAGTTAATCAGTAGTTATTTGCTGTCATGTGGGCCAACTGTCTCTTCTTCTCAAAAGTGAAAAAAGAGTGTTTTAATGATTTCATCTGGACTGGAAAGAAAGGCATGAATGCCAAGGAAGTTGGTGGATTTCAGTCCTTCCCAGCTGGGATATGTCCCAACAGTTAGAAGTTTGTCTAGATGCAAATGGCCCCCTGAGAAGGGCTTAAACCTCATTGACACCAGCAGCAGGGATTGTTCTAAAGCAGATGCCACTGGGAGAGAAGAGGAGCCTCTGATAGGCACTGCCCAGGGGAAGAAGGGCACAGAAAGGGGAACCTGAGAGGGGACATTTTTGTCTGAGTCTGATTGTAAGGATCATTAACCATCAAAACATTTTTACATAACTCATTCATGGCTTCTAGGATTCTGGGCCTTTCTTCCCTGTCCAGCTCTGTAATTTCAGAGAACCTCCCTGTGGGGAGAAATTGTCTAGGAAATGTCTATAGTAATACTCTGGAGTGTTGGCTGGGTCAAATGGTATTTCTAGTTCAAGATGCCTGAGGAATCGCCACACTGACTTCCACAATGGTTGAACTAGTTTACGGTCCCACCAACAGTGTAAAAGTGTTCTTATTTCTCCACATCCTAGCATTTAAAACATTTCCTTTTGATTGTCTTGGAGTTTCCAGGTTTATCATAGACTCAGTTGCAAATAGTGATAATTTTCCCTCCTTGTTTCCAAAAATATCTTATGTTGCTTTCTCTTGTATAATTACAATTGCTTGCTACCTTTTCAAAAGTGAGTTAATGTGCTTTTATTATTTATTTACCTGTAGGGCACCTAATATCTTATCATTAATATTGATGTTGGTTATTGGAAATTAATTAGTTTATTTTAAAATCAGTGTGGCTATACTTTGCTTAGTCCTATTTCATTAAAGTCTTTTATCTGTGGTATAAATTTAGAAAATTTTATTTTGACGTTGACTGATATAATTCCATGTCTTTTTCCTTTTGACCTACTAATATTGCAAATTACATCACTGCGTTTCCTAACATAAGTGATATGTACATGTACATGTGCAAAGGTTTGGGTTCCTAGGAATACAGACTGTTGAGATGAAGATAAAATGGATGAAGGAAGTTTATTAGGGAATCTTCTCAGGAAATGTGCTAGAGGGAGAAGGGAAGAACCCAGGATTAGGCAGGGAGAAGTGAGACTGAGATGTAGTCACAACAAATATAGACTCTACAGGGAGTTCTAAAGTTTGGTTGGACTTTCAGAATGAAGGAGAGTGAGCAGAACTTTATAATCCCCATCGGATGCAAACTTCCTCTGGAAAAGACACTTGACTTACATAGGGCATCTCTCTTCAGCATAAGCTAATTTCTGGACAGGTCTGACGGCTCAACAGCTGAGAGCTAACAACTGGTCTCACTCCCAGCAACTGGAGATAGGTCCTTCTGTTTTTGCACTGTTCCTCTAGGTTTGGAGATGCAAATATTGCTTCTCCTGCTTCATCTTTTAGATCATCTGTAGAGACTTCCAAGCACAGTTTTAAATATCTCCCTCATGAAATTTCTTGTTCAAGCCTTCTCACTCCTGTCCCTTCTGAACATGAGCATACATGGAACATTTCCCCTATGTCCCATGGTTCTAGTAAGTGATGTGACTACAGCCTTAAAGGAGGAGTAAGATAGATGTTGGGAGGAGGTGAGGAAGGAGAGGGCAGGGGCTGAGTAGAGGTGCATGTTTTAGAGTACTATGACATTTTAAAATTCATTTTATTCCCATGGTTCAAGGCAATTTTGGAAAATGGGTCAAGCCGAAAGAATAGACCACAGATTTCCTGCAGTCATATTGAGATGTATTTGACAATTGTTCTGTGGTTTCTTGTAAAGTGTTTATTTATAAAGCAGTACTGTTCAATAGAGAATTCTGTGATGGACATGTTTACTGTCTGCCCTGTCCAATATGGCAGCCACTAGCACATGTGGCTGTTGAGCACTAGCAAGGTGGCCAATGTGATGGAGAAACTGAATTTTACATTTTAATTTTAAATCATATAATTAAACGGCCACATGTGGCTAGTGGTTACCGTTTTGAACAGTGCAATTATAGAGTATATCATTCTCAATAAGATGATACAAAACATTGTGTATGTAAAAGGAGGGGGTGCACAGGTAAAGATATGATGAGAAATTGCAAAACAAAAGGAACAAGTGGATTTAACATCCCAAAATTCCAAAACATGGGGAGGGGAGGCTTGTTACTGTGAATTTAAAAATTGCGGTGACTTTCCCCATTGCTTGTTTTTGTCAGGTTTGTCAAAGATCAGATAGTTGTATATACGTGGAATTATTTCTGAGGGCTCTGTTCTGTTCCATTGGTCTATATCTCTGTTTTGGTACCAGTACCATGCTGTTTTGGTTACTGCAGCCTTGTAGTATAGTTTGAAGTCAGGTAGCGTGGTGCCTCCAGCTTTGTTCTTTTGGCTTAGGATTGACTTGGCGATGCAGGCTCTTTTTTGGTTCCATATGAACTTTAAAGTAGTTTTTTCCAATTCTGTGAAGAAAGTCATGGTGGGGATGGCATTGAATCTATAAATTACCTTGGGCAGTATGGACATTTTCATGATATTGATTCTTCCTACCCATGAACATGGATTGTTCTTCCATTTGTTTGTATCCTCTTTTATTTCATTGAGCAGTGGTTTGTAGTTCTCCTTGAAGAGGTCCTTCACATCCCTTGTAAGTTGGATTCCTAGGTATTTTATTCTCTTTGAAGCAATTGTGAATGGGAGTTCACTCATGATTTTGCTCTCTGTTTGTCTGTTATTGGTGTATAACAATGCTTGTGATTTTTGCTCATTGATTTTGTATGCTGAGAGTGCTGAAGTTGCCTATCAGCTTAAGGAGATTTTGGGCTGAGAAGACGGGGTTTTCTAAGTATACAATCATGTCATCTGCAAACAGGGACAATTTGACTTCCTCTTTTCCTAATTGAATACCCTTTATTTCCTTCTCCTGCCTGATTGCCCTGACCAGAACTTCTAACACCATGTTGAATAGGAGTGGTGAGAGAGGGCATTCCTCTCTTGTGCCAGTTTTCAAAGGGAATGCTTCCAGTTTTTGCCCATTCAGTATGATATTGGCTGTGGGTTTGTCATAGGTAGCTCTTATTATTTTGAGATACGTCCCATCAATACATAAATTATTGAGAGTTTTTAGTATGAAGGGCTGTTGAATTTTGTCAAAGGCCTTTTCTGCATCTATTGAGATAATCATGTGGTTTTTGTCTTTGGTTCTGTTTATATGCTGGATTATGTTTATTGATTTTCATATGTTGAACCAGCCTTGCACCCCGGGGATGAAGCCCACTTGATCATGGTGGATAAGCTTTTTGATGTGCTGCTGGATTCGGTTTGCCAGTATTTTATTGAGGATTTTTGCATCAATGTTCAAGGATATTGGTCTAAAATTCCCTTTTTTTGTTGTGTCTCTGCCAGGCTTTGGCATCAGGATGATGCTGGCCTCAAAAAATGAGTTAGGGAGGATTCCTTCTTTTTCTATTGATTGAAATAGTTTCAGAAGGAATGGTACCAGCTCCTCCTTGTACCTCTGGTAGAATTCGGCTGTGAATCCATCTGGTCCTGGACTTTTTTTTGGTTGGTAAGCTATTAATTATTGCCTCAATTTCAGAGCCTGTTATTGGTCTATTCAGAGATTCAACTTCTTCCTGGTTTAGTCTTGGGAGAGTGTATGTGTCGAGGAATTTATCCATTTCTTCTAGATTTTCTAGTTTATTTGCGTAGAGGTGTTTGTAGTATTCTCTGATGGTAGTTTGTGTTTCTGTGAGATCGGTGGTGATATCCCCTTTATCATTTTTTATTGCATCTATTTGATTCTTCTCTTTTTTCTTCTTTATTAGTCTTGCTAGTGGTCTATCATTTTCTTGATCTTTTCAAAAAACCAGCTCCTGGATTCATTGATTTTTTTGAAGGGTTTTTTGTGTCTCTATTTCCTTCAGTTCTGCTATGATCTTAGTTATTTCTTGTCTTCTGCTAGCTTTTGAATGTGTTTGCTCTTGCTTCTCTAGTTCTTTTAATTGTGATGTTAGGGTGTCAATTTTAGATCTTTCCTCCTTTCTCTTGTGGGCATTTAGTGCTATAAATTTCCCTCTACACAGTGCTTTGAATGTGTCCCAGAGATTCTGGTATGTTGTGTCTTTGTTCTCATTGGTTTCAAAGAACATCTTTATTTCTGCCTTCATTTTGTTATGTACCCAGTAGTCATTCAGGAGCAGGTTGTTCAGTTTCCATGTATTTGAGCAGTTTTGAGTGAGTTTCTTAATCCTGAGTTCTAGTTTGATTGCACTGTGGTCTGAGAGACAGTTTGTTATAATTTCTGTTCTTTTACATTTGCTGAGGAGGGCTTTACTTCCAACTCTGTGGTCAATTTTGGGATAGGTGTGGTGTGGTGCTGAAAAAAATGTATATTCTGTTGATTTGGGGTGGAAAGTTCTGTATATGTCTATTAGGTCCACTTGGCGCAGAGCTGAGTTCAATTCCTGGATATCCTTGTTAACTTTCTGTTTCATTGTTCTGTCTAATGTTGACAGTGGGGTGTTAAAGTTTCCCATTATTATTGTGTGGGAGTCTAAGTCTCTTTGTAGGTCACTGAGGACTTGCTTTATGAATCTGGGTGCTCCTGTATTGGGTGCATATATATTTAGGATAGTTAGCTCTTCTTGTTGAATTGATCCCTTTACCATTATGTAATAGCCTTCTTTGTCTCTTTTGATCTTTGTTGGCTTAAAGTCTGTTTTATCAGATACTAGGATTGCAACCCCTGCCTTTTTTTGTTTTCCATTTGCTTGGTAGATCTTCCTCCATCCCTTTATTTGGAGCCTATGTGTGTCTCTGCACGTGAGATGGGTTTCCTGAATACAGCACACTGATGAGTCTTGACTCTATATCCAAATTGCCAGTCTGTGTCTTTTAATTGGAGCATTTAGCCCATTTACATTTAAGGTTAATATTGTTATGTGTGAATTTGATCCTGTCATTATGATGTTAGCTGGTTATTTTGCTCGTTAGTTGATGCAGTTTCTTCCTAGCCTTGATGGTCTTTACAATTTGGCATGTTTTTGCAGTGGTTGGTACTGGTTGTTCCTTTCCATGTTTCAGGCTTCCTTCAGGAGTTCTTTTAGGGCAGGCCTGGTGGTGACAAAATCTCAGCATTTGCTTGTCTGTAAAGTATTTTATTTCTCCTTCACTTATGAAGCTTATTTTGGCTGGATATGAACTTCTGGGTTGAAAATTCTTTTCTTTAATAAAAAATAAATAAATAAATAAATAAATAATTTCACGGTGAATAAAAAAAAAAAAAAAAGAATGTTGAATATTGGCCCCTACTCTCTTCTGGCTTGTAGAGTTTCTGCCGAGAGATCAACTGTTAGTCTGATGGGCCTCCCTTTGTGGGTAACCGGATCTTTCTCTCTGGCTGCCCTTAACATTTTTTCCTTCATTTCAACTTTGGTGAACCTGACAATTATGTGTCTTGGAGTTGCTCTTTTTGAGGGGTATCTTTGTGGCATTCTCTGTATTTCCTGAATTTGAATGTTGGCCTGCCTTGCTAGATTGGGAAGCTCTCCTGGATAATATCCTGCAGAGTGTTTTCCAACTTGGCTCCATTCTCCCCGTCACTTTCAGGTACACCATTCAGATGTAGATGTAGTCTTTTCACATAGTCCCATATTTCTTGGAGGCTTTGTTCATTTCTTTTTATTCTTTTTTCTCTAAACTTCTCTTCTCACTTAATTGCATTCATTTCATCTTCCACCACTGATACCCTTTCTTCCAGTTTATCGAATAGGCCACTGAGGCTTGTGCATTCATCATGTAGTTCTTGTGCCTTGGCTTTCAGCTCCATCAGGTCTTTTAAGGATTTCTCTGCATTGGTTATTCTAGTTAGCCATTCATCTAATTTTTTTTCAAGGTTTTTAACTTCTTTGCCATGGGTTCGAACTTCCTCCTTTAGCTCGGAGTAGTTTGATCATCTGAAGCCTTCTTCTCTCAACTCGTCGAAGTCATTCTCCATCCAGCTTTGTTCCGTCGCTGGTGAGGAGCTGCATTCCTTTGAAGGAGGAGAGGCTCTCTGATTTTTAGAGTTTCCAGTTTTTCTGCTCTGTTTTTTTCCCCATCTTTGTGGTTTTATCTACCTTTGGTCTTTGATGATGGTGACGTACAGATGGGTTTTTGGTGTGGATATCCTTTCTGTTTGTTAGTTTTCCTTCTAACAGTCAGGACCCTCAGCTGCAGGTCTGTTGGAGTTTGCTGGAGGTCCACTCCAGACCCTCTTTGCCTGGGTATCAGCAGCGGTGGCTGCAGAACAGTGGATATTGGTGAACCGCAATTGCTGCTTCCTGATCGTTCCTCTGGATGTTTTGTTGCAGAGGAGTACCCGGCCGTGTAAGATGTCAGTCTGCCCCTCCTGGGGTATGCCTCCCAGTTAGGCTACTCGGGGGTCAGGGACCCACTTGAGGAGGCAGTCTGCCCATTCTCAGATCTCAAGCTGCGTGCTGGGAGAACTACTACTCTCTTCAAAGCTGTCAGACAGGGACATTTAAGTCTGCAGAGGTTACTGCTGCCTTTTGTTTGTCTGTGCCCTGCTCCCAGAGGTGGAGCCTACAGAGGCAGGCAGGCCTCCTAGAGCTGTGGTGGGCTCCACCGAGTTTGAGCTTTCTGGCTGCTTTGTTTACCTTCTCAAGCCTCAGCAATGGCGGGCGCCCCTCCCCCAGCCTCGCTGCTGCCTTGCAGTTTGATCTCAGACTGCTGTGCTAGAAATGAGCGAGACTCCGTGGGCGTGGGACCCTCCGAGCCAGGCGTGGGATATAATCTCCTCGTGTGCTGTTTGTTAAGCCCATTGGAAAAGCTCAGTATTAGGGTGGGAGTGACCCGATTTTCCAGGTGCTGTCTGTCACCCCTTTCTTTGACTAGGAAAGGGAATTCCCTGACCCCTTGCACTTCCCAGGTGAGGCAATGCCTTGCCCTGCTTTGGCTCACGCACAGTGTGCTGCACCCACTGTCCTGCACTCCCCAGTGAGATGAACCCAGTACCTCAGTTAGAAATGCAGAAATCACCCGTCTTCTGCGTCGCTCATGCTAGGAGCTGTAGACTGGAGCTGTTCCTATTCGGCCACTGGCTCCTCCCCCATCTTGTCATTTTCTTACTCCAATATAGCTTTATTCCCATCACCTTCTCTGTGCTTTTACTAGTAAACATTATATTTTTCTATGTTATAGATTCTACAATACAATAATATACACATTGTTTTTTAAAGTTGCCTTTCAAATCAGTTAATAAAAGGGGAATAAATGTGAAAAAAAGAAAGAAGAAAAAGAAGAGAAAGAAAGAAAGAAGGAAGGAAGGAAGGAAAATTTTCTTATCTTGAAGTGTGATTGTATTCACAGCAACTCCTTCTTTTTCAACCTTAATGTCTGTTTCAACCTTAATGTCTCATTTTGAAATATATTTTCACTGAATATATTATTCTACAAATAGTATCTTACAATAGATTCTGTGCCTGGTAAAGGCTTACTCCTTGCTTCCAAGATGGTGCCTGTTTCCTGGTTTGAGGCAAAGTAACATTAGTAGTGAGAACTAAAATACAATCTAAAAGCTACTGGTGAGTTGGTAATAGGTAGTGCAGATGTTGACAAAACCATAGTTTTCTACTGTCAATAACAAACATGTTTCTATATTGCAACAAATAAAATGCTATAATGTAAATACTGAAGAGTGATCCCATTTATAATGAGTTGGGCCCTCTAGGAAAACTCTTGTCAAAGCAGCAATTCTCTACTTGCTGTGTGATTGTAAACTTGACTTTGGAACTGGCTCTTGTAATACAGTCTACTATAGCCTTCATACATATTACCACTGTATTCATACATATTACTACTGCAGGGGTTTGGAAATCAAGGGGACAAATTGTGGGGTGTTAAAAACCACAAACTTATTTCCAAACCTATGGCTTCAAATTTTACATACTTTGCTTGGTGCCCAGATAAAGAGCTGTACAATGTTTTTTCTGCATCCAGTGAGATGATCATGCAATTTTTGTCCTTCATTCTATTAATATGGTGTAATACATGACTGATACTTGCATACTGAACCTGTCTTGCAACAACTACTACATGTGCCCCCAGGTTATGTGTTAATAATGGGTGCGAGATTTTCCATTATACTAGCTCTATCTTGCACAAGAATATCACGCCATCAAATGCAGAAATCCTTAGTGAAAAATTCTGGACATAGTATTTCCAATAAGATCAATAACTTATCAAGCAGTTCTAAGTACCCTGTGAGGAGCCAATATTGCAATGACTTTTAGAACTCCAGTTAGAAGAAATGAACAAGTCGTTGATCTTAAGCTGCATGAGGAGGGGCCGCAGAGAATATGAAACTACAAGGGCAAATAACAAGCCATTTCCCAAAACATCCCCTAAGAACAAAGGAAGCATGAAGCCAGTCACTGCAAAACAGGAAACACACCCCAAAATTTGTTCTCTCAGCCAACATGAAGAGATTTTAAGATAGCGGGGAAAACATGAGAACCTAAGAAACTGAAAACAATCAAACAACTGAAATAACAAGCAGCAACTGGCAAACAGCTGGGAAAAAAAGCAGCTGTAGAAAATTCAAAAAGAGACAGCCCTTCTCCAGGAGCTAGAAGATTTAGAAATGAGTCTTTTAGATATTTAAAGAACATAAATTGCATGCCAGAAATCAGTGTAAATATATCTTCTCTTTAAACCTGATGGGGTACTCTAAACATTCTTACGCCCACACTTGATGATCATTTATAATGCATCCAATGTTCTGAATATATGGGGTTTTTAAATGTTTATTAAATGGACTTTTTCCACCTTTCAATATAATGTGGAAGGGGGTAGGAATGAGTTTTTTTAACCAAAGCTTGACAGACTAAAACAGAGATATTATTATCCACTAAAGAACAGACTCTCAAAGACACCAATAAAAGCATCTTACATTTTTTTAAAAGAGGAAGGAGCAAAAGGAAGAGTGATCAAAATCAGGAAGGAAGGCTGCATGCTGACTCTGCATGTTCTCTGCAGAATCTTCAGTAAAAGTTCCTGAAACTGAAACAACAGTAAAGGAAAAGTCAAATAGGAATAATTGTGTGTGTGAATACCAGGGTGTTTTTTTTTTTTTTTAAGTAACAGTAAAAACACCACATTTTAGGCTTTTGGAGTCTTGCACCAACAAAGAAACAGTGCATAATTCTGTAGGACTGAGGAGGTAAAGAAAAGGCTGAGGAAAAAGAGGACTCTTAGAAACAGTGGGGAAGATTTCAGGATTTTTCTTTCTTTTAAACTAGTACTATATTTATTCTTTTTCATTACCTTGTTCCTTTTTAAATTTTTATTTTTATTTCAATAGTTTTTGGGGTACAGGTGGTTTTTGGTTACATGGATTAGTTATGTAGTGGTGTTCTCTGAGATTTTAGTGCACCCATCACCCAAGCAGAGTACACAGGACCCAATGTATCATCTTTTATCCTTCATCCCCCTCCCAATCTTCCCCCCTCCCAGTTCCTCTGTCCATTATATCGGTCTCATGCCTTTGCATCCGCATAGCTTAGCTCCCACTAAGAAATGAGAAAATACACTATTTGGTTTTCCATTCCTGAGTTGTAAGTGGGATCTCCCAGGGCACCACTAGACAGGTCAAATAATGACATTGTTTTAGAAATGGGACTTTTAAGGGGCTCTAACTCCATTCAGCTGCCTTCAGTGGCTTCCAGGCTGCTAGTTTTCATAGTGATTTTAGTTTTTTGGTTTTCAAGGTTACTGCAGAGTGGGGGTAATGAGAAAGGGGCAGGTTGAAACATGACAGAACTCACTATTCTTACTATTTTTCTTGAATGAACACTCTCTATATTACTTCAAGCGTTGGGTTGATACACAGAGTTCTGAAAAACAAAAATAAAAACAAAAACAAAAAACAAAGAGTTGATTCTGACTATTTTTTGACAGTGTTCTCTATTTTTGTGGAGATTTTTGGAGGGCATTATTCTGCTATTCCCACTGACATCATCTCACAATTATATTTGTCTTATAAATATATAGCATTATGGTTGCAGTGTGAAAGGTAATTTGAGAGAAGCAAGCCTTGAAACAGGTTCAATCCAAAGAAGAAGTTGCAACAATCCAGTCCAGAAATGATGGTGACCATAACTCAAGTAGAGATAAGGAAAAAAAAAAGTGGATGCTCCAGAGAGATATGAAGCCTTTATAATACACAACTCTTTTATTATTTATTGGAAGAAAGAGTCAAGGCTTCTGGCATGGACAACTGGACAGATTATGGCACCATTTGCAAAATAGGAAACCCAGGAAGGAAGGGATGAACATCCAGTGGAGCCAAAGGTGGTGCCCGTGAGAACCTCATTACCCAGTGAAAACACAAATAGAAGAAAGACCAAAGGTGTTTAATGCATGCTCCAATACCCAGTAGACCTTGCAGTGTTGACTTGAAGCTATGGTGGCCAACAGGCAATGGGGAAAGGATTCCCTATTTAATAAATGGCACTGGGAAAACTGGCTAGCCATATGTAGAAAGCTGAAACTGGATCCCTTCCTTACACCTTATAAAAAATTAATTCAAGATGGATTAAAGACTTACATGCTAGACCTAAAACCATAAAAATCCTAAAAGAAAACATAGGCAATACCATTCAGGAAATAGGCATGGGCAAGGACTTCATGTCTAAAACACCAAAAGCAATGGCAACAAAAGCCAAAATTGACAAATGGGATCTAATTAAACTAAAGAGCTTCTGCACAGCAAAAGAAACTACCATCAGAGTGAACAGGCAACCTACAGAATGGGAGAAAATTTTTGCAACCTACTCATCTGACAAAGGGCTAATATCCAGAATCCACAATGAACTCAAACAAATTTACAAGAAAAAAACAAACAACCCCGTCAAAAAGTGGGCGAAGGATATGAACAGACACTTCTCAAAAGAAGGCATTTATGCAGCCAAAAAACACATGAAAAAATGCTCATCATCACTGGCCATCAGAGAAATGCAAATCAAAACCACAATGAGATACCATCTCACACCAGTTACAATGGCGATCATTAAAAAGTCAGGAAACAACAGGTGCTGGAGAGGATGTGGAGAAATAGGAACCCTTTTACACTGTTGGTGGGACTGTAAACTAGTTCAACCATTGTGGAAGTCAATGTGGCGACTCCTCAGGTATCTAGAACTAGAAATGCCATTTGACCCAGCCATCCCATTACTGGGTATATACCCAAAGTATTATAAATCATGCTGCTATAAAGACACATGCACACGTATGTTTATTGCAGCACTATTCACAATAGCAAAACTTGGAACGAACCCAAATGTCCAGCAATGATAGACTGGTCCTTTAAGAAAATGTGGCACATATACACCATGGAATACTATGCAGCCATAAAAAATGATGAGTTCATGTCCTTTGTAGGGACATGGATGAAGCTGGAAACCATCATTCTCAGCAAACTATTGCAAGGACAAAAAACCAAACACCGCATGTTCTCACTTAGAGGTGGGAATTGAAGAATGAGAACACATGGACACAGGAAGGGGAACATCACACACCGGAGACTGATGTGGGGTGGGGGAAGGGGGGAGGGATGGCATTATGTGATATACTTAATGCTAAATGATGAGTTAATGGGTGCAGCACACCAACATGGCATATGTATACTTATGTAACAAACCTGCACGTTGTGCACATGTACTGTAAAACTTAGAGTACAATAATAATAATAAAAAACGAAAAGAAAAAGAATTTAGTCCAGGAAAATTTCGTAAAAAAAAAAAAATTGCAGTGACTTCTTTTAGGCTTGTTTAGCTTCCTGACTTACTAGGCAGTTTTCAATTCATCATTATATTTTGGAATAATTAAGAATTCAGGAGATGTTTAACTTCAAGCTCTCCCTCACTATTTAAACTCCCCAAATTTAAATATTTGCCATAAATAACTTTCAATTGATTTCACCCAAAATTCATTATTTGAATTGAAACTCCACTGAAGCAAATCTGGTTGTGTACACCAGTAAAACATGGATATTGCCCTTGAGTCTGTAGGGTGAAAGTGAAGTAAACTGCAGTCATATCTCAGTTGTTTCCTGACAAGATCCTGTCTTGTTCCCACGTTGTCTAAATTGGTTTTTAATTGTTGGAATCATTTTCTCCACATTATTAAGTGAAAGTTCTTCTATGAGAAAGGGACAATTTATTGCTGATTTCCAAAGTTTCATGAAGTGATGACTGCAAAGCAACACAATAACAACACCAACACCAACATCACCAACAGAAAAACCCTTCTTGGATCTTTTTTTTTTTTGGATCTTTTTGAAGAGGTCTGAATTGGTGACATGTACAGTGAAGAATGTGAAGAGCTATGAGCCTTACATAGCAAAGGACTTACTGCCAGAGAATTCAGTTCAAACCAATGCTCAGAGTTGCAAGAAGGAGTCAATCTTGCAGAATAATCTTAAAGATTAATTGAGTACATTTTTGAATTTAAAAATTTTTGCAATCTATCCATCTGAGAAAGGGCTAATACCCAGAATCTACAAAGAACTTAAACAAATTTACAAGAAAAAAACAACCCCATCAAAAAGTGGGCAAAGGATATGAACAAACACTTCTCAAAATAAGACATTTATGCAGCCAACAAACATGAAAAAAAGCTCATCATCACTGGTCATTAGAGAAATGCAAATCAAAGCCACAATGAGATGCCATCTCACGCCAGTTAGAATGATGATCATTAAAAAGTCAGGAAACAACAGATGCTGGAGAGGATGTGGAGAAATAGGAACGCTTTTACACTGTTGGTGCAAGTGTAAATTAGTTCAATCATTGTGGAAGACAGTGTAGCGATTCCTCAAGGATCTAGAACCAGAAATATCATTTGACCCAGCAATCCCATTACTGGGTATATACCCAAAGGATTATAAATCTTTCTACTATAAAGACACATGCACACACATGTTTATTGCAGCATTGTTCACAATAGCAAAGACTTGGAACCAACACAAATGCCCATCAATAATAGACTGGATAAAGAAAATGCAGCACATATACACCACGGAATACTATACAGCCATAAAAAGGATGAGTTCATGCTCTTTACAGGGATGTTGATGAAGCTGGAAATAATCATTCTCAGCAAACTGACACAGGAATAGAAAACCAAACCCCGCATGTTCTCACTCATAAGTGGGAGTTGAACAAAGAGAACACATGGCCACAGGGAGGGGAACATCACACACTGGGGCCTGTTGCGGGGTGGGGGGCTAGGGGAGGGATAGCATTAGGAGAAGTACCTAATGTAGATGACGGGTTGATGGGTGCAGCAAATCAGCATGGCACGTGTATACCTATGTGACAAACCTGCACGTTGTGCACATGTATCCCAGAATTTAAAGTATAATAATAATAATAAAAGAAACTTTAAAATCATACAAAAGTCATCAACAGAAGCATTCCACTATATGATGCAATCTCAAGCACAGTGTTACATTATTACCCAGGGGTCCGTATGCTTTCAAGCAGAGGAAACACAAAGACATGGCCATTTTGAGTTTTTCCCATCACATTGCTTTGACTATGATTTCAGACAACAGGCCACAGTCATCTCCTTCTGGAGGGTCAAATGCCATAAAGACAGTTCCCAGTCCCTTGGAACTGGATATGGACAAACCCCAGGAGTGAACAATTCCACCTCCTCCTTTATCAGCTCATCCCACACACTCACCCCGCTGAACAGCCACCGTGAGGACTCCGGTCTCCCTCTCCTCTCCTCTAAACCTCATTTAGGCAATTCTAATTAGTAAATAATCCTTTTTTAAATTTGTGAGTGAAATTTGATTTTGTTATCTATATGAACCTATTTTTGTATTTAATCAATTTTTCTGAATGCTTGTAGAAGTGTAGTAGAAAAGAATGTTTGCATTTATATCATTGCTTACTGCAGACAGATATGAGTGTAGTGTTAAATCACTGGCAAATAATCAGCTAAACAATTAGCTGATTGGCATTTAATGGCCTTACATTTTGCAGAAATCATTGGTGATTTTTATTATATTGCTTTGATTGTTTAAAAGTGTTTTAGTGATATCTGGAGGAAATTGTTGGGGTTTTTGGATGGGCTAGAAATGTACTGCAGCTTTTCCCCTTTAAATGATGAAATATAGAACCCCTATTGTGGAATTTTGCTATGTAACTTTTTTTGGGATGTATGACATTCGGAGCAAGGGATTCCTCTACTGTGAGATGTAATGGGGTGGCATTGTAAAAGACTCAGCAGGCCATGAAGGCAAAGAGTTGTGGGTGAGTCAGGGCTTTATAAAGATCTCTGAGCATCTGAGAACCTGCTTCTCACACACAATCTGTTTTCCTGGCTATTATGAGTCAAACAGGGAATAAAGCTGACCAATAGTACCTTTAAGTTCTGTTGACTTTACAATTCTATGATAAACCTGGGAAAGTAAAACCACCAGGAAAAGAGTCTGTTACCTTGGTGAAGGAGGGTAGAAGCGATTTGGGATATTCTAGGCTCAGCAGGTGCAACGTGGAGAAGAAGCTAGGGACACAGTTGACAACGAGAGGCTCCCACATGTGGCCCTCATTGATCTGTCCCCCACCCCATCTAGAGCCATTTGAGCCACTCCAACTGAGGCCCAGTCTGCAAGGAGTGAAGTCAAGTTGTACCCAGTGTGCTCTGCCCAAATTCTTGACACACAAAAACACGTTGTTTTAAGCCACTGAGTTTTGGAGTAGTTTCTTATGCAGCAACAGATAATCAAATCACCTGAGTGGGTTCCTACAAGGAGAATTGCTATACAATTGGTACATGCATTTGTAATTTTGAAAGATATTACTGAATTGCTTACAATAAAAATTTTAGTCAAATTAGTTTCACCAGCATTTTATTAGTTTCCCATATTGATTTCTCATAATTTTATCTTTGCCAAACTGATAGGTGAAAGAT